>NW_003315958.1:0-167950 GCF_000001405.40 Homo sapiens
AGTGAGTCACCATCCCCTTCATTGTGTCACCGTCCCCCTCAGTGTGTCACCATCCCCCTCAGTGAGTCACCATCCCCCTCAGTGTGTCACCGTCGCCCTCAGTGAGTCACCATCCCCCTCAGTGTGTCACCTTCCCCCTCAGTGAGTCACCATCCCCCTCAGTGTGTCACCATCCCCCTCAGTGAGTCACCATCCCCCTCAGTGTGTCACCATCGCCCTCAGTGAGTCACCATCCCCCTCAGTGTGTCACCTTCCCCCTCAGTGAGTCACCATCCCCCTCAGTGTGTCACCATCCCCTTCATTGTGTCACCACCCCCCTCAGTGAGTCACATCCCCCTCAGTGTGTCACCATCCCCCTCGGTGTGTCACATCCCCCTCAGTGTGTCACCATCCCCTTCATTGTGTCACCATCCCCCTCAGTGAGTCACATCCCCCTCAGTGTGTCACCATCCCCCTCGGTGTGTCACATCCCCCTCAGTGTGTGACCATCCCCTTCATTGTGCCACCATCCCCCTCAGTGAGTAACCATCCCCCATTGTGTCACCATCCCCCTCAGTGTGTCACCATCCCCCTCAGTGAGTCACTATCCCCCTCAGTGAGCCACTATCCCCCTCAGTGAGCCACCATCCCCTTCAGTGTGTCACCACCCCCCTCGGTGTGTCACATCCCCCTCAGTGTGTCACCATCCCCCTCATTGTGTCACCATCCCCCTCAGTGAGTCACCATCGCTCTCAGTGTGTCACCGTCCCCCTCAGTGTGTCACTGTCCCCCTCAGTGTGTCACCATCCCCCTCAGTGAGTTGCCATCCCCCTCAGTGTGTCGCCATCCCCCTCAGTGTGTCGCCATCCCCCTCAGTGAGTCGCCCTACGGTCATGCGTCATTCCACAGTCACGGAGTCATCCCACCATCACATGACTCAGCGAGCCGGGGATGTGGGAGATTCTGGGCTCCAGGCCAGCACTGAGTGGCTGCTGAGACCAAGGTTGGGACTTGGTTTTGCTTTATTACCCTTCCTTGCCTTTCCTTCCCAACCTCGCTTTGCCTGTCCCACCACCGACGTCTGCCCAAGTTCAGGAAGCTCCTGCTGGGGTAGAGTGAGTAGAGTCAGAGTCACCTTCACATGAGTCATCCCATCACTAGTGTCAGCATCACTGTCACATGTGTCAGCATTACCACCTCGTCCACCCGTGTCTGCTTTGGAGACTCTAGAAATACAAAGGTGCAGCTAACCCGGCCCTCTCACTCCAAGGACCACAAGCTTGATTGGGAAAACACCTGGTGTCCCTGAAGGCAGATGGCAGCCAAGACCAGGGACACTGGGGAAGCCTGGGGATGGAGCAGAGAACCTGGAGAAGGCAGAGACTGGGCTCAGGCAGCTGGAGACGGCTTCCTGGAGGTTGCCACAGCAAAGCGCTGCCGTCGTGTGGTGACGGCCAGAGGCCCCAAATCTGGTGTGAGCAGGGCCACGTCCCTCCAGGGGCTCTGTGGGAGAACCCCTCCACCTCTTCCAGCTTCTGGAGGCTCCACAGTTGCTGGGTTCTGTGACTTGGGTGGCCTCACTGCCCCATCTTGTCCCCATGGCCACGCAGTTTCTCTGTGGGGTGTCTTGTGGCTTCATGTGGCCACCTTCCTCTAAGACAGCAGTGTGTGGATCGGGGCCTACCCAACTCTGGCATCACCGCATTTAATCAAGTCCTTCTGCGAAGGCCCAGTTTACAGATAAGGCCACACTCTGAGATTCTGTGTGGGCGTGGATGTTGGGAGATGCCACCGAACCCACTACTGTAGGGCAGTTTACGGGGAATTTAGTCCTGGCCCAGGCTAGCCAGGAGCTGAGGGCCACACCAGGCCTCACAGGGTCCTCCCTACAGCCTCCTGCCTGTAGTTGCATTGGTGGATCCTGGTCAGAGGGCATCGGGGACAGGCCATGTGGAGGCCACCCAGGAGCCAGCCATGGTAGAAGTTTCCAGAACCACAGACCACAGGCATGGGACAGCCGGGTCTCCTATGGAGCAGTCAGCATTTCTTGTGGGGAGCCTTGCCTCAGAGGGCTCACATACGCCGTACCTGCTTCATGGGGCACCTTCGGACACTAAACATGTGTCTTTTCTCTGCGTATACTACGTGTATGGCATAAAATTAGCAAATGGCTTTTGATCATTTTCTAACTTCATCTGAACCTTGGCCCCAAGCACTGGAGGCTGAGCCGCAAGCGTGAGGAGGCAGCCATTTCCCTGGGACTGCAGAGCCCAGGCGGGCGCCCGGCTGGGGCAGCGGCTCCCCTCTTCCAGGAGACACTTCCAGAGCTCAGAGCAGGACTGGGACTGCAGAGCCCAGGTGGGCGCCCGGCTGGGGCACCGGCTCCCCTCTTCCAGGAGACACTTCCAGAGCTCAGAGAAGGACACAGGTTTCTCGTTCACACGGGCTCTGTGTAAAACATGAAAGCTGCATTTTCCTTTTAAATCAATACAATGAAATCCCCTCACCCTTTCTCTCCAAGCTGTTTTCACAGTGAGAGCAAGCGTGCCAGGTCACCCAGAGAGGAACCAGCTTGAGAACCACTTTGCTTTTATCTTTTCTCTCCTAGCAATGCCCACATTTCCATTTCATATGGGGAAAAGCCATTTTCCTGCTAGAAGTCAGCAAATTGCCTTGGCAAACAAGAGCAGCCACCTCTTCTCCGAGGCCCAGCGTGGGACTTGCATCCAGATTGTGGATGCAACAGGACCGGGGAGTCCTCCCACAGCGGCTGGGGCGGAGCCGACTTCCAGGCTGTATCTGGCCCTTCAGGGGCTCAGCCGGGCCAGGCCACAGGCCACGTGAGCGGCGTCCCTGGCTTCATCTTCCCATCTTGGCAAACCTGAGCCTGGATCTGTCATTTGAACTGTGTTATCACAGTCCATTAACAGACAATGTTCCATCAGAAACAGGATGGAAATATGCTTTTAAGTAATGACGTTCTCATGCGCGCAGGACGCATTTGCACTGCTGGTCGGTGGGCGCCATGGAGATTTCTCTTAAAATAGGAGGAGAGGATAGAAAATACCCTTTGCGTGTCCCGTGTCCTCTTGATACTCGTCCAACACATTTCTCTCATGTTTTTTATTGTTCTTTCTTCAAAGACAGTGCAGTTTAATAGGAAGACTTTACAATTACTGAATTTATGATATTGTTTATAAAAGGGAATTTGAAAGAACTGATGTATACCAATAAAAATGGCATATTAGTAATTTTTTTAATTCTCAAAGAAGAAATAATAGCAAAATAATGTCCCTGTTTGGGAGGGGAGGAGGAGAAGAGAAAGCAAAGTTAAAATCAAGAAAATTAAAATTCTAAAACAACCAAATGCACAAAAATGTGCTTTTCCCCTTTTAGAGAGGTGATGTGATAGGGTTTCTGTCTATGAAACCAAATGTTTACAAATATTCAAGCCCATAAATTTGAAGAGAAACCGAATACAGAAAATTCTTGTTAATGCAGTACATTTTCTGGTAATTTTATAGTCCAATTTTCAGTGATTCCCCACAGAACGAATGCAGTTCAAAGGCAATTTTATAAAGTACTTTGCAGATAACTATTATCTGCTAATTATTAGAAATTGCATGTTGTTGTTAATTGCATAAATAAATTGTTTTATCTGAAAGCCATTAAAAAAAGGTTTGGTGTTTGAAGCATATATAGTTTTGATGTTCCTGTATAAAAACGTTTAACTGTTTAACTCTAAAATAATGACATGCTGCTTTTAAGACAATTTCTTAGACTAATGGATTATGGAGGGGGGGGGGTCCCTAAACATGTATTTTATTTAATTTCCCTGACATACTTCAACTGATCGTCATGGAAAGGAAGAGTGCAAATATTTTACTAAATGTATTAGAATGATAGCCGTATATGGCTACTTTTTTAATCCTTAAAGGAAATTTATATGAACATTTTCTTTCTTCCAAAATACTCTTCATTAAAAAAAAAATGCTGCTCTGTTTTATCATATATTTCCCTCATAATTAGCCATAAGAGAGAGAAATCTGTGGGGACTGCTGCCTTTCATTTTCTATGAAATAATTCAGAAAAGAGTTTAATAGCAGATTCTAATAGAATTTGAAAACAAGGTGTGTGGATCATTTCTGCAGCTTCCTGAATGAATGTGCTTTGGAGAGGAGCCGACCGCATCCTTTCCAGGGCCCAGTGCCAGGACCCTGGACGGCGTCACCCTAGGACGTCACCCCAGGACAGCAAATTCAGCCTCGGTGCTTTCATGGGAAGGCGTGGGCAGTGCCATCCCCAGTGACTCGCAGGTGGAGAAGCAGGGCTGAGGTTGTTGGGATCCTGACGGATGGCCGGCTAGGGCCTCGGGAGGCGACATCCTGGCCCTCACCCTGCCTGCTCAGTGCTGAGGAAGGAGGTCCACATAGAGCTCAGGAGGGCTGGAAGCGGCCAGCACACACCTGCCCAGGTGCACAGCAGATGCAGGGTGGGCTGCTAGGGTAGTAGCAGGTCAAGCAGGGCAGCCGAGCCCAACAGGGTCCACAGATGCCCATGGAGGAAGTGGCCTCGTTCATGTGCTGAGAATGTCTCTAAGCCTGGTGGGGCAGACAGCCCACATATGCTGGGCTACACGCAGGGCTCAGGGGAGGCGAGGGAGAAACAGTGGCTCCTGAGGACCAGGGGCATGGTTTTGGAGCCTGGCTACTGGGGAGGGAACAACTCTGGGCACTCAGCATAAGGGACATGCCATGCGTGGAGGGGATGACGGCACCATTGGAGTGCATGGGCGTCCCTGTGTTCCAGCCACGCAGTGAAATGGTGAGGACGGAGGGGGACAAAAAGGGCGCAGAGCCCAGCCCCTCTCGGAACAGAGGTTGCTGCACCCAGCTCCTCTTGGGACGTGGGATAGCCATGCCCAGCTCTGCAGCCCATGCTCTTGTGGACAGGACAGGTGCCAGTGTGGTACTGCGTGTGGCCTCACAGAGCGAGTCTGTGAATGAACGAGTGACAAAACCTGGAATCTCAAAACGCGAAGCAAGTACGGAGCTCGCTGCCGCTCCACAAGGATGAGAACATTCCAAGGACTGAAAAAGCCTTTTTGCCGCAGTTTTGTCTGGCTACATCCCCGTGAATTTGCCAGGGCTTCGAAACAACTGACCTCAGACCAGGCGACCTGCACAGCACACATTTATTTTCTCACAGTTCCGAGGCTGGAAGTCCAAGACCGAGGGTGTTGACCGGTGGTCTCTCTCCTGCATCGTCAGGACATGGCCGTAGCACCTGGCCAGACAAGTCTCTACATGGGGAGCATCACCCCACACCCCAGCAGTGCCGAGACGGTGCCAACCACCAAATAGTGAAACACAAAGCCCATCCAATGTCAGGTCAAGAGAGCCACAGACAGGGTGCAGGATCTCATGGCCCAGGCCAGTGCAAAGTCAGAGAGCCTCAGACAGGGTGCAGGATCTCATGGCCCAGGGCAGTGCAAAGTCAGAGAGCCTCAGACAGGGTGCAGGATCTCATGGCCCAGGGCAGTGCAAAGTCAGAGAGCCGCAGACAGGGTGCAGGATCTCATGGCCCAGGCCAGTGCAAAGTCAACACGTGGCTCTCCCATCTGCCCCAGACCCACTCTTTCCCTTACAGCAAGTGCCTCCAGACCTATGCAGCACCAGGGTGCACAGAGGGCCAGGACAGATGCCTGTCCCTCAGAGCAGACAGAGAAGTCCCTCCTTGTCCCTCAGAGCAGGCAGAGAAGCTGCTGACCAGGCTTCTCCCATACCCCTGCAGAGTCCCCCACAGAGGACACCATGCACACCTCACCTTCTGGTCTCCAAAACGTGGCTTTCCTGGAGGCTGGCAAACCCCCTAGTCAGTGCCACATTTCCCTCTTGGAACAAGAGATAATATGTAGTTTTCGATCTAATTTTAGACCTTGGCTGAATTAGCTGACACTCAAAGAGGCCGGGGCCCAGAGACATAATGTGTGTGCGAATTCATATTTTAAGAGTCCATTTGCTTATTATCTATCTCGTTCTATAATTCAATATTTTCAAAGGATTGCCAGCAAGGAGCCCTGGGCTCTCTCCCACTGAGATTATGCTTGTGGCACAGTGGGAACAGGCACGGTGCACCCGGCCCTGCTGCCCATCACTGCCTCCCATCTTTCATTCTTCCCTCCGTCCTCCGTCTGCACCACTCCTTGTCTCCCCTCATGCTGAAGGTCTTACCTCTGTTTCCTTGTATTCATACCTGGGTCTCAGGTGTCCGCGAGTTGTTCGGTCCCTTCGTGGATCTACAGCTCGGGCAGATGCCCCCAGGACTGCAGCCTCGGCACCCGTGGAGTCTCTGTCTCTGTGGAGGGGCAGCCGATGACTCCCAGCCCAGCGTTCAAAGTCACCCTCTGTGAAGACAGGGCCCCACCTGAGCATGGCGCTGTCACTGCAGGACGGCCCAGATCCCATCCGAGACAGAAGGAACCTGTGTCAGGATCACCCTGGTAAAACGCCTCTGGGGTACACCACACAGCAAAGGTCACCTCGTGAAATTTTGAGGTCAGTTTCCCAGGGCAGGTGCTGACCTTTCTCGTTCTCTGAGCGAGGGCCCCTCAGCGCTTCTTCCTTCTGGGTGACCTTCGGAATGCCGTGGGAGTGCTGTAGAGTCACGATGTTGAACTCACAAATACTCTGGTGGATTTTCCACTACACTAACGGTTTCATGGCTATGAGCACTGGTCACACAGTGCTTTAGGCTGACGAAAACTCTCACACCACCCAAGAGCAGCCTTGCTACTGCCCGGCTGCCACCTCCACCCCACGGTGCATGCAGAAGCTCGTCCACTCCAGGCAGAGTGTACCCTGGCCTCCAGGACAAACCAGTTATTTACTCAGGCCCTGCTTGGAGGGACGGGGTCTGGAGGGTCAGCTCGGGGTGAGCACAGGCCAGTCGTGTGGGGCCTCTACCAGCCACAGGCACAGAGACCCCTCCCTACCTCACCTGCTGAGAAAGGCCATCCCCTAGGGAGGAGCAGTAACAAGCGGAAAGGAAGGAGGCTGCTCCCTTTTCCTGCACCCCAGGGACAACTGGGCAGGGAAGAAGGATCCCAACCTTGCACAAAACCGCAGAGGCTCAGAGAGGAGCCCCTGGCCAGGGTCTGGACTCAAACTCAGGTCTCCCAGCCCTTAATATCTCTGTTCGGTCAGCCACAGCCTGTGGCGCCTGCCAGGCCCTAACGGAACCGACTCCCATTCCCCGGTTCCTACAGGGCAGCTGATTTCCACCAGCGTCCTCTCATTCCAGGCATTGGCCAAGCCTAAAGTTTCTGTTTTATAAGATCTGTTGAGATCACATCTCAAGGGGTATGGTTGAACGTGTCAGTCAAATTGATGAAAGAAAGGACAAATTCATTAATTAATTCACTTCTGAGCTGAGTTCCCGCATGCCAGCCTTAAACTCAGAGTGGGTTTTTATGGTTGAGTTATAAATCCCTCACAAGCGGGGCTTCTTATAGACAAGCTGTCAGGGCCGTAAATGCCAGGGCCTCGGTGGGTGCTGGGGGGTGACATAAAAAGGGCATTGACACACTGCCTCTTGGGCGAACTGCAGTTTTGCCCTTTGGCAGATATTCCAGATGATTACAGTTTTTATTACCAGCCTCTGCAACACTACCTCCAGCCACATCTGTCTCCACATCAGCTGGGTCACCACAATGCACGGCGGTGAGGTATGAGCCGATTCCGACTGGATGTAGGAATGTGCAAGTTTAATTCTTCATAACCCCAGATCTTGGGTGAAGAGAACGGCCCATTGTGAAGAAAGCGCGTTTTCTTGTCCACTACTCATGGCAAAAGCAGACAGGCCTCCTTCTAACCTCTATGCCAGCCAACCCTGGACCATCAGCCCGTGAGGCTGAGAGTGGCCCAGCCCTCAGGTCTCTCGGTGCCTTTGTTCAGCCATGCCTCATCCCGGCCACATCCCCACAGCCCCTGCTTCTTCACCTGCCAGGGTGAAAGTTTCCGGGAAGGTCTGCTGCCATGGCCTCCCCTTTATCAGACACTCACCCACCCCCAAGTGCCTCACCAGGGTGGGGCCCCCTTCCTAGGGAGCAGCAGGGGCGAAGTCCTGGGGTCCAGCCTGTGCTCCTCTAATGCAGAAAAGCAACCACAAAGGCAAAACATGCAGTCTCCAAATGTTACCTCTGCTGCCAGGTTTCAGCTTGTGTCCGCCAGGAAGCAGGTGTGACACCATGGATGTGACTGTGGCGTGCACACCACGGGCTCTCAATAGTAAAGGTGTCAACGTGGGCACGCGTTTTGACCAGAGAGAGGTGCAACGGACTTTCACCTTTCCGTGGAGCGAGAAAGACTGAAGATTTGAAGTAGAACGGCACCTGCCGCAGAGCCCCTTTGTAAAAAATCTCACTTTGCTCCACGTGATCCACCACCAGCAGCCCTGTGAGAGGCGAGGGTGACCCATGGACTAATGGCAGCTGAACTCCAACCCCTGGCTGGGCATCTCCTCTGGGCCCAGCCCAAGGCACTGGCAGGAGGCAGGAGGAGGCTCTGCAGCCTGGCCTTCTGTCCTGAGCACGGTTCCAAGGAGAGACTGCACACCCTGAAACCAGCCTCCACACAGACTGAGATAAACAGAAAGGCCACTTTACACATCACGCCTCAGGACGCCTCAGGCCACAAGCAGCATGCAATGGTGAGGTCCTGGAAAGAGCCCCACGGCAGACTGGCATCCCTTTGACGCAGAGCTGCTGCAGCTGCCTCTGAGTGTTTGCCTCAGGACGCTTCATCTTCTCATCCCTCGTCCTCAACATTAAAAACAGCTCACGCGTTCCAGCCACTGCGGGGCACGTTAGCATGAGAAGCAGGTGAGCCCCTCGCGTGCCCGTCTCATTAACCTCGATCCTTAGCGCTGGCCTGCTGTACCGGGACAGGGCATGGCCGTCTCGATCCTTAGCGCTGGCCCGCTGTACCGGGACAGGGCATGGCCGTCTCGATCCTTAGCGCTGGCCCGCTGTACCGGGACAGGGCATGGCCGTCTCGATCCTTAGCGCTGGCCCGCTGTACCGGGACAGGGCATGGCCGTCTCGATCCTTAGCGCTGGCCCGCTGTACCGGGACAGGGCATGGCCGTCTCGATCCTTAGCGCTGGCCCGCTGTACCGGGACAGGGCATGGCCGTCTCGATCCTTAGCGCTGGCCCGCTGTACCGGGACAGGGCATGGCCGTCTCGATCCTTAGCGCTGGCCCGCTGTACCGGGACAGGGCATGGCCGTCTCGATCCTTAGCGCTGGCCCGCTGTACCGGGACAGGGCATGGCCGTCTCGATCCTTAGCGCTGGCCCGCTGTACCGGGACAGGGCATGGCCGTCTCGATCCTTAGCGCTGGCCTGCTGTACCGGGACAGGGCATGGCCGTCTCGATCCTTAGCGCTGGCCTGCTGTACCGGGACAGGGCATGGCCGTCTCGATCCTTAGCGCTGGCCTGCTGTACCGGGACAGGGCATGGCCGTCTCGATCCTTAGCGCTGGCCTGCTGTACCGGGACAGGGCATGGCCGTCTCGATCCTTAGCGCTGGCCTGCTGTACCGGGACAGGGCATGGCCGTCTCGCCCACCTCTTGTGACTCTGCTGACACCGCTGCGCCCTGCACCACCTCCAGGCCACATTCACTGCTCATCCAAAGCTTGAATTTCCCATTGACTTAAAACTTCCATTAAAGCCCCAGATGAGGGTAAACGAGGCTCCATGTGCTCTGCCTAATGGGAACGTTCTGGCTGGCACCGACTGCGATAGTTTCGGGCAATCTGCCGCTGCCTCTGTGGGAGCCGAATGAGCACTTCACAGTACTTAGGTAGACTCCTTCCCCGCATGCAGCAGCTGCTCCGGCTGAGCCCTCACCTCCTGGTTCCTTCTCCCTCCCACATACAGGGCTCGGATGGGGTGCTGGGGTCCTGTTCCCACCTCCGTGGTGCAGCCCCACTGCCCTCAGAGCTGTTCTTTACCCGCTTCCTCCAGAAAAAGAAATGGTGACGCAGAGGGTCTCCCCGCCTCCTGCTGGCTCCCAGCGAACACAGGCTGGCTCAGGGCACTGTGCAGGGGGCCTGCTTGGCCACGAGAAGCACGCAATGGTGAGGTCCTGGAAAGAACCCCACGGCAGATCCGGCTTCCCTTTGACACAGAGCTGCTGCAGCTGCCTCTGAGTGTTTGCCTCGTCTGCAGTAAAACATAGCCGAGGGTACACTGGGGACAGGCAGGAGACCTGATGGGCCATGCCCCAGCGCTGCTGCCCATGGTGTCTCTGAGATGAGACAGGAACGTCCCCAGGGGAGTGGGAGCCAGGGGCTCCCAGGGTCTGACCCTCTCCAAGCCCCAGGCTCCTCAGGGCTGCACTGTGTGTGCTGCCCACGTGCACCGAACCCTCTGGCCCTGGCCCTGGCCCGGTTTGCACCTTCCCCTTGGCTCTGACACCTTCCTCCCTTCACAGCCCACACACAGATGAGTGCTGCTTGTCCTGCAAGGCTTCCCAAGAAGTTTCAGTGGACACCCTTCCAGTAGGAATGGCCCATCCCCTCTATGTTTCCCAGAGTGTCCTGCAGCAAACATCAATGTGACTCGTGCACACGGCATTGGGGCTGCCTGGTGAGACGCCGTGCTCCTGGTGGACTGACGGCAGGAACGAGGATCATTCACCTTCGTGAGACAGAACGGCGCAGCTCCCAGAGGAGAGCAGAGCTTGGGGACTGCGTGAGGACTCCCTGAACTAAGCTCCCCAGTGGGCCCCTTCACCTGTGCGGCACGCAGCGTCTTCACTGTCCACGGGGAGACTCAGGGTCTGAGATTAGACTCCTTTTGAGGTCTACAGCTGCTGGAGTCAGAGCTGCCCCTGCGCCCTCTGCTGCCTAACTCAACCCTGAGGATGCCAGCCCGACAGAGCACGGTGTCGGCCAGGAGGAGGATGGACCTGAGGATGCCAGCCCGACAGAGCACGATGTCGGCCAGGAGGAGGATGGACCTGAGGATGCCAGCCCGACAGAGCACGGTGTCGACCAGCAGGAGGATGGACCTGAGGATGCCAGCCCGACAGAGCACGGTGTCGACCAGCAGGAGGATGGACCTGAGGATGCCAGGCCGACAGAGCACGGTGTCGACCAGGAGGAGGATGGACCTGAGGATGCCAGCCTGACAGAGCACGGTGTCGACCAGCAGGAGGATGGACCTGAGGATGCCAGCCCGACAGAGCACGGTATCGACCAGGAGGAGGATGGACCTGAGGATGCCAGCCCGACAGAGCACGGTGTCGACCAGGAGGAGGATGGACCTGAGGATGCCAGCCCGACAGAGCACGGTGTCGACCAGGAGGAGGATGGACCTGAGGATGCCAGCCCGACAGAGCACGGTGTCGACCAGGAGGATGGACCTGAGGATGCCAGCCCGACAGAGCACGGTGTCGACCAGCAGGAGGATGGACCTGAGGATGCCAGCCCGACAGAGCACGGTGTCGACCAGCAGGAGGATGGACCTGAGGATGCCAGCCCGACAGAGCACGGTGTCGACCAGGAGGAGGATGGACCTGAGGATGCCAGCCCGACAGAGCACGGTGTCGACCAGGAGGATGGACCTGAGGATGCCAGGCCGACAGAGCACGGTGTCGACCAGGAGGATGGACCTGAGGATGCCAGGCCAACAGAGCACGGTGTCGACCAGGAGGATGGACCTGAGGATGCCAGCCGCACAGAGCACGGTGTTGGCCACAGAGCAGGACGGGCCTGCGCTGCTTTCCTGTCATCACGCAGGGATAATCTTTACCTCTCATTTAAAAAGGCCAATAGTGCCCATGTCACAGGGATTATCAGCAGCCGCTCTGACAGGTGGATAACGTGTGCTCGGGCAGAAGAGATTGAAACCCAGCAGGGCGGGGAGGCAGGGAGGCTGGAAGCCAGTGAAGTTCACTCCAGCACGGCGTCCGGCAGCTGAAGAGGCCCTGCGTCCACACAGGCACTGCGGAAACTCACCTTGTCCTGAGATGAGGGAAGGCCAGGGAGAGGTGCGTACCAAGCTTGTCACAGGGCACTGAGGACAGAGCTGCCACTAGCTCCTGGCAGGAGGCTTTGATGTGGAAACCGGCAGCCATGCAGTGGGCGCAGAGGAGGTGGCCTTTCTGCCCTTCCTCCCTCCTGGCCCCCAAGGGTCACCTGGGGAAAGCCCTCTACAGTGTGAACACGGCTGTGAATGGCTAATTTGCTGCAGTGGCGGGGGTGGTCTCTGTCCTGTTCCCCCCACCCCCTCATTCTCCCCACCCGGAGCAGCCCTCCCTCCCTGCCACCCCCGACCTGAATCAGGGCCACCGCCAGAGCCTTTGCCACTCCACATAAATGTGCCATCAGCAGGCCAGGGTGGTTTCATTTTGTTTTTAGTGCTGAGGATTTGTGTGTGTGTTCTTTTTCCTTTTAGTTTCTTTATTTTCCCAAATGAAATGTGATCCAAATCAAAACAAATTCCCAGCATCTGCTGGAGAGACTTTCCTCCTCTCTGTTTCCCCAAGTGCTGAATGGAGAACACTGCTCCATCTCGCTGTTATTAAGACGCACGGAGGCCTCACCGCCAACAGTCCATGCGTGTTTCTTGGCAGCCCTGGCCGGGTAGTGGTGACGGTGCTCTGAATAGGGGGCACCCACTGCCCCTCGCTGCTGCCCCCATGACCCGCTGTGCAGTGGCTTTTCCGGGGAAGGGCACCCCATTGGCAGAGAAGAGTGTGCGGGTGGCAGGGAGGGAGGCGAGCCAGGGCCCGGGCCCGAGCTCCGTGTGCCGCGGCCCTGTCAAAGCGGCCTCCTCGCGCCTCAGCCCTCTAGCGCCAGCGTTTTGTCACATCTCCGGTTTCCTTTCTTTGCTTCAGCTTCCATGCGACCCCCTAGCTGCGGACACTCCACACGCTGAGAGTCAGCTGAGCTTGAACAAAGAGACCTTTCTCCTCTGCAGAAATCGCTCGAGCCGCCAGCGCCAGAATTCACAGCAGCTTTCTCTTGAAATGCTTGGCATTTCCCCACAATTTCTTAGGTATACTTGGTGGGCGAAGTGCGTCATCTCTGTTTGAATTTATCGCACAGAATAAGCCATTTTCTCCATTTAATGTTATCCCCTCGGTAACCAGGAGGTCGGAGGCCACAACGCAAAAACAGCAAATTTGTCAACGGAATGTGCAAAGCCGGGCATAAATTTATCTTGTCCTAATCCCCGGCCCCCTTTCATGCGGTGATTTTTCATATGCATATGAGAATTTTCCGAGTTTGCTTTCTCACACATTTCGCCGTCCGCAGACGGGCGGTGGCTCTGTGGGCCCCTAGGAAGCAACGTGGCTTTCCCCTTCCTCTGTAAAGCCCAAGGCGGCCACCTCCGCTTTTCTGATCATCTGTCATTGAAAACCCCCCAAGCATCGCTTCCTATGATTATTTTCACACACAGGGAGCATAATTGCATGTTCTGAAAAAAAATTCTCACTAAAGAAGCCCGTGATTCTCAGACATCCTAAGGCATCGCAAAGCCAACCCTGTGCCATGCTGTAGCCACGTACAAACTTTACAATCCCGTGTCACTCACATTTAAAAATAACCAGCAACTTCATAGCAGAAAGAAAGGGTCATGGTCACCACAGTGAGACTGAGACACACATCTCCTCTAACTTTACACCACTCGGGATAACTATGTGCATCCTCACCAGAGAATATCTACCTCGTGCTGTTTCCTTCAGCCTCCATTATACGGTGGAAGAGTCGCATGACAAGCTAGAGGATCAGTCCTAAAGGAGTCCGTGTCAGTGTGTGACTATTTTCACAAAACAAGTAGTTTTGTCTTGAAGTCCACTCTCTTGACACCACCAATATTGTGTGCTTTGGATGGCAACAGTGTACCCGGCCGGCCAAGGAGAGCCTGGGCGCTGGTGGCGTTGGCTGCAGACCAGTCTCCGGCCCAGGACCTGCCGTAAGACCTGGGGGCCAGTGGTCTGCGCCCTGCAGGCCTGAGAGGAGGGAAGCTGTCTGATTGCCAGGTATTTACACAGCAACACTGAAGGAAATGTACCACGGCCCCTGGCTTTCTCAGACGTCAACTCCTCAGGCTTAATGATAAAATTCATCCCCGAAGCATATTTTCTTTGGTTCAAGACTATCTCCCCACACTGGGAATTTCCCCTGCAGTTTGCTCCTGGGTGGACAGTTCCACAGGTCAGTGATTCATCTCTCCTCAGTCAGGCTTACACGTGAGTTTGTTGCTTCTCAGTGAACTCCTAGACTGGAATTCCAAGCACACTGGAGAGAAGGATGCGCTTTTCCTCGAGAGTAAATGTTCATCTCTTGCCCCAGAAGGAAATCCTGTGCCACAAAAGAGAAGCAGAGCCACCTTCCACAGCAGTGAGCTGTGAGGAATGGAGATGGTACTCAACGTTTTAGACAAACCCTGTAAATTCCTGCTCAGGTTTTTAGTGTGATTCAAATCAATTTGGCAAAATAGTTACTGCATCTAAAATACACCAGGGTGATGCTAGACCGCTGAGCTAGAATGATGAAAAGCAGATATGGGTCCTGAATTCAGAGAATTTCCACAAAGGAGATTGTGGAACATAATCTCCTAGAGACATAGAAGTGTCTAGACATCTGTGAACCATTTAAGCTGTCCTGAAGGCAGAGGACTGGTGTGTCTCAGAGCAGCAGCATCCGCATGCGAGCACCGCCCACACGAGAGCACCGTCCACACATGAGCACCGCCCACACATGAGCACCATTCACACGTGAGCACCATTCACACATGACCACCACCCACACATGAGCACCACCCACACATGAGCACCACCCACACATGAGCACCATCCACACGTGAGCACATCCACACATGAGCACCGTCCACATGAGAGCACCGTCCACACATGAGCACCACCTGCACATGAGCACTGTCCACACGAGAGCACCGTCCACACATGAGCACCATCCACACATGAGCACTGCCCACTTGAGAGCACCGTCCACACATGAGCACCATCCACACATGAGCACCACCTGCACATGAGCACCGTCCACACATGAGCACCGTCCACACATGAGCACCACCCACACATGAGCACTGTTCACACATGAGCACTGTTCACACATGAGCACCGCCCACACGAGAGCACCGTCCACACATGAGCACCACCCACACATGAGCACCACCCACACATGAGCACCGTTCACACATGAGCACCACCCACACATGAGCACCGCCCACACGAGAGCACCGTCCACACATGAGCACCATCCACACATGAGCACCACCTGCACATGAGCACTGTCCACACAAGAGCACCATCCACACAAGAGCACCGTCCACATGTGGGCGCCGACCACAGGTTAGCACATCCACACGTGAGAACAACCACATCACACGGTTAAGGTGGGCGCTGCACATCAGAATTCCAAGGTCAGCTTCTCCACTCACTATGTCATGTGGCTGCAGTCCGTTACCGCCCCATGGCCCAGGTGACAGTCCTATAAGACCATGTAAAACACCACCTGTCTCAAAGAGCAGTTTGAAGAATTCAAGGATTCAGAATATTTCCACTGAGCACACAGCCGACCCTATAGGACTGCTGCGTTATTAACATCATCGTTATAGCTTTGGTGCCTACAACGATCTCTGGTACATATTAATTTATATTTATATATGCATTTGTTGAATTGAATATAGTAATGGATATGATTATTGTGGTGGTGTCCCTCGGAGGTTTGCCCCAGAGGCCATACTGGGTTGCTGGAAACTGTCATTAACTGTAGTGAGTTGTAACTCTGTATCCTTATCTGTGAATTGAGAAAATTAATTGCTGTTACGTAACATAAAATGAATTGTTGCTGTACAATATAAAACGCCCACCAGCAAGACAGAGGAGTCATTACTCTGGAAGAGTAAATGAAGAAATCTCAACATTACAACATGACAATTAGATTCCATGTCAATAAGCAAAAAGGAGAACATAGCATGTGTTTTATTCACAGCTGTCAATTATGTCCTACAAAGACAGGCAGCAAAATATTATAACATTTTCATTTAATAATAAAGCACTTACTGAGTACTTACCAAAATGCCAACTACTGTAATGCACAATCTTTGCTTGAAAAAAATGAAGCTCCGTTTTTTTTTTTTTTTTTTTTTTTTTTTTGGACAGAGTCTCACTCTGTCACCCAGGCTGGAGTGCAGTGGCACCATCTTGGCTCACTGCAACCTTCACCTCCTGGGTTGAAGCTAATCTCCTGCTTCAGCCTGCTGAGTAGCTGGGATTATAGGCGCTAGTCACCACGCCCAGCTAATTTTTGTATTTTCAGTAGACATGGGGTTTCGCCATGTTGGCTAGGCTGGTCACAAACTCCTGACCTCAAATCATCCAAAGTGCCTCGGCCTCCCAAAGTGCTGGGATTACAGACATGAGCCACCGTGCCCAGCTGAAGCTCAACTTCTAGTCAGGGCATAGCTCTATAGACAAATCATTAAGATAAATATAAGGTGATGTTCATGCTGTGGGTGACAGATAATGTTCGTTATGTCTAGCCGTGAAGGATTATTTCATACGTGAAGAGACGATTCAATTGGGTTTGAGAAGACTGAAGTCTGTCAAGCAGGGAAGGAGATAAAGTCAGAGAGAAGAGTCTAAACAGAGGCAGGAAAATGTGGAGGCATGTTCTGGAATGACATGGTCCCTGTCAGGGAAGTTCAGGCAGGGAAGAGGGTGTTTAAAGGGTGTCTGGGAAAAGTGAGTGGAAAATAAGGCTGGAAGGGGAAACTGGCCAGAGAATGGAAAGTTGGGAATGTCATTGCGTGGGCGAATGTGTGCTGGTGGTAACAGAAAGTCGTCTGTAGCTTTGGAACAATGGTGCGACGTGTCCACACGTCTTTAAAAAGCAAACACTTAAAGGCAAAGGGAGGAAGGAATAGCAGCTGAGGAGGGAAGCTCAGAAAGGAAATCCAAGTTGAAATATCCATGCGGTAGTAGCATGAGAAGGATTCTAAGGAAGTGGAGTGAGGACGGGGATGCGGAGCCAAAGGTTAGAAACTTCTTAGAGGGAGGGCGACCTTGGGAGACAGACTGGGTTTGAAGTCCGGGTCTGACACTTACTGCCTATGGAACAAAGACAAGTCACAAATCTCCATTTCTTCTATAAAATAGACACAGTGTTGAGTATTGTTTAGGGACCCTGTCATGACTAGACAGGGCATAAGATGTTCAGGCATCGCTGAGTATTGTATAGGGACCCTGTTTTGACTAAACGAGGTGTGGTGTCCAGGCATTTCTGGCTTGCACAGAAGTGGGAGAAGCCCAGAACTGTGAAACTCCAGGGAGCAGGAGTCCCTCACAGGCATGCGGGGAGTCGCCTGAAACCCAGATGGAGAGGTCACTAAGATCCAGGTCTGTTTCCTGTGCTTTTCTGTCCCTGGGGTCTAGTCGATGTCCTGAACCCTGTCATCTGCTCCACAGCAACATATAAATGAGTTACGGTAACCAGATATTAGATGCTGAGAAGCAGCAGCCGTGTGTGGGGATTATGATGGGAAAGGAGGGGAAAGCTGGAACTGAGGTGCGTTAAGGACAAGTTTGCAAGCATTTGGTAGTGGTTGAAACGTGTCTCTAAGCCAGGGACTGGGAAGTTGCAGATCCCAGGCAGGGAAGGTGGTAGGGAACCGAGACCACAGGAGAATCACTCATCATTTGCAGATGAAAGGGTTGCTTACTTAGGAAACACACACACACACACACACACACACACACACACACACACACACACACAACATCACCTAACAATGTTATAAATTGTGAAATAATTCAGTAAGGTAAAAAGTACAACATTAACATCAGTACAGTTCCATAAATAATCAACTACCGGATGAATACAATGAGGGAAAAGTTAACATGATACAACAGGACAGGCGTGAAGATATCTTTAGAACTTGGCTGAATGCTTCAAGTGGAAATTTTTCTGCATTAAAAGTTAAAAACTTTAAAAAATTAAAACACTCTGAGGGGCTCCCATGATGGCTGACTAGAGGCATCTTCAACTTGCCTTCTCCACAAAGAACAAAAGTCGTCATTAGACAATCACACTTCAAGTAGATCATACGAACGAGAACACATGAGCTGAACAGAGAAGGGACAGGAAGCCTCTCCAGCAGGGAAGGAGAGGAGGGCAAGGCAGCCTTCCCGGCCAGGATGGGCTGGGAGCCCAGAGAGATGTCCCAATGTGGGGAAGGGGTGAGGGAGAAACCCCCAGGGTTCACATCCCCACTGTGAGCTCCTGCATCGTTGGCCATGGGAGAGCCCCTCGACCATCGCTAGAGGGGAACCTGACACAGGGAGCTTCCTGGAGACAGTCGCAGTGCTGCTCCAGAGAGGAAGCTCACGCCAGGTCCCACGCACACCCTGAGTCCTAAACAGCTACAGCAAAGCAGCATTTTGAGAGCCCAGCCCCCAACAGACTGTGCCCTGTCCTGTGGCACCTGTGTCTCCACCTCCCTAGAATCCCACTGACATCTCCCATGTGCAGCTGCCACCACCAGGGCTGAGGTGTGGCCACAAGCAGCATCACCCCACTGGCAGTGGGGCCGCCATGCATTTCAGGTGACAAGGCAGGGTGCCCCACCTGCAGCTGCTGTCACCGTGGGCTGCCACTGCCGAGGCTGAAGTGCAAGTGGGGTGTGAGCTGCTGCTGCCAGGGCCGGGATGTGAGTGACGTGTAAACCGCCACCACTGACGAAGAGGCGCAAGCCAAGTGTGCATCCCTCCGACCACCCCCTGTCTTCAGCGGCCACTGAAATCAACCCCTCCTTCCCCAGAGGCAGGGCCACAGTGCAGGTGCTGACATCCCCAATCTGAGCATTCTGCCAGGAGCCTGGGGATCATCTCACCTCTGCCTACGGCCAGCACCTGCACGCACCACTGGGGGCCTGAGGACAAACACACCCAGTGCAAGTTCATGCGCACTTCATGCCAGAGCATGCAGTCTGGGGGCGTGGGGATTGCCCAGCCACATTCACCACCGCTGGCACCTGACCACTTCCCAGAGGCCTGAGGTTGGGTGGGCCCAGCCACTCCGCTGCTATCACCACAGCCGGCCCCTACCTGCATGCACAACCTGAATGCCTGGAAACTGGCACTTCCAGCCCACTGCAGCCACCACTAACACCAGCATGCCACTGCTGTTGCCATCCTCCATGCCATACCTGCAGCCTAGGGGCCCGAGAACCTGACCACCCTTCTGGCCCTCTGCTGCCACTACTGTCATTGGAGCAAGACACCTGGAGGTCCAAGAATCAGCCTATCTAGATCTACTAACAGCGGGTCAGCAGACACTACCCCAAGAATCAGCCTATCTAGACCTACTAACAGTGGGTCAGCAGACACTGCCCCAAGAATCAGCCTATCTAGACCTACTAACAGTGGGTCAGCAGACACTGCCCCAAGAGTCAGCCTATCTAGACCTACTAACAGTGGATCAGCACACACTACCCCAAGAGTCAGCCTATCTAGACCTACTAACAGTGGGTCAGCACACACTACCCCAAGAATCAGCCTATCTAGACCTACTAACAGTGGGTCAGCAGACACTACCCCAAGAATCAGCCTATCTAGATCTACTAACAGTGGGTCAGCAGACACTACCCCAAGCATCAGCCTATCTAGTTCTACTAACAGTGGGTCAGCAGACACTACCCCAAGAATCAGCCTATCTAGACCTACTAACAGTGGGTCAGCAGACACTGCCCCAAGAATCAGCCTATCTAGACCTACTAACAGTGGGTCAGCAGACACTGCCCCAAGAGTCAGCCTATCTAGACCTACTAACAGTGGGTCAGCAGACACTACCGCAAGAGTCAGCCTATCTAGACCTACTAACAGTGGGTCAGCAGACACTACCGCAAGAGTCAGCCTATCTAGACCTACTAACAGTGGGTCAGCAGACACTACCCCAAGAGTCAGCCTATCTAGATCTACTAACAGTGGGTCAGCAGACACTACCCCAAGTATCAGCCTATCTAGATCTACTAACAGTGGGTCAGCAGACACTACCCCAAGAATCAGCCTATCTAGTTCTACTAACAGTGGGTCAGCAGACACTACCCCAAGCATCAGCCTATCTAGACCTACTAACAGTGGGTCAGCAGACACTACCCCAAGAATCAGCCTATCTAGACCTACTAACAGTGGGTCAGCAGACACTGCCCCAAGAATCAGCCTATCTAGACCTACTAACAGTGGGTCAGCAGACACTGCCCCAAGAATCAGCCTATCTAGACCTACTAACAGTGGGTCAGCAGACACTGCCCCAAGAGTCAGCCTATCTAGACCTACTAACAGTGGGTCAGCAGACACTACCGCAAGAGTCAGCCTATCTAGACCTACTAACAGTGGGTCAGCAGACACTACCCCAAGAGTCAGCCTATCTAGACCTACTAACAGTGGGTCAGCAGACACTGCCCCAAGAATCAACCTATTTAGACCTACTAACAGTGGGTCAGCAGACACTGCCCCAAGAGTCAGCCTATCTAGACCTACTAACAGTGGGTCAGCAGACACTGCCCCAAGAGTCAGCCTATTTAGACCTACTAACAGTGGGTCAGCAGACACTGCCCCAAGAGTCAGCCTATTTAGACCTACTAACAGTGGGTCAGCAGACACTGCCCCAAGAGTCAGCCTATCTAGACCTACTAACAGTGGGTCAGCAGACACTACCGCAAGAGTCAGCCTATCTAGACCTACTAACAGTGGGTCAGCAGACACTACCCCAAGAATCAGCCTATCTAGACCTACTAACAGTGGGTCAGCAGACACTGCCCCAAGAATCAGCCTATCTAGACCTACTAACAGTGGGTCAGCAGACACTGCCCCAAGAGTCAGCCTATCTAGACCTACTAACAGTGGGTCAGCAGACACTACCGCAAGAGTCAGCCTATCTAGACCTACTAACAGTGGGTCAGCAGACACTACCCCAAGAATCAGCCTATCTAGATCTACTAACAGTGGGTCAGCAGACACTACCCCAAGAATCAGCCTATCTAGACCTACTAACAGTGGGTCAGCAGACACTACCCCAAGAATCAGCCTATCTAGTTCTACTAACAGTGGGTCAGCAGACACTACCCCAAGAATCAGCCTATCTAGACCTACTAACAGTGGGTCAGCAGACACTACCCCAAGAATCAGCCTATCTAGACCTACTAACAGTGGGTCAGCAGACACTACCCCAAGAATCAGCCTATCTAGTTCTACTAACAGTGGGTCAGCAGACACTACCCCAAGAATCAGCCTATCTAGATCTACTAACAGTGGGTCAGCAGACACTACCCCAAGAATCAGCCTATCTAGACCTACTAACAGTGGGTCAGCAGACACTACCGCAAGAGTCAGCCTATCTAGATCTACTAACAGTGGGTCAGCAGACACTACCCAGGGGCCCAAGGAAAGACATACTCAGCCTACCACTGCCACTACTAGGGCCTGAAGACTAGTTGACCTGGTCGATGATGTCTTTGAGAGGATTCAAAGCGACGGCCGTGAGGAGCCAGGCATGCAGACGCTCCCTGGAAGTGGACACCACCAGGCAACCACAGCCTTTGCAGGAAAGATGTGGAGGAGGTGGTGCAGGCAGGAGAGAGGCTGGATGCCACCCTGAGGGGAAGCCCAGGTCTGTCCTGGCCAGGAGGCATTGTGTGGCCACCGCAAGAGAGGAGGGAGAAAAGCCCAGAAAGGCAGGCGGGGACTGTGACTCTCAGAAAGCGCCAAGAATGCTGGGAAACATCGTCACAAGTGTCTCTTCATGCCAACGATGACCACAGGGACAAGAAAGATTCATCAAGTTGACTTAGAGAGCTCCGGTTTCCCTGAGACATCATCAAGTTTGAATAAGCAAGCAACAAGCTTAGGCGCGTGAACTCCCGCGTGCCGGAGAGAGCACATGGTGGTTTAAAGTGCCACATTCCCTTCTGGCTCAGAGCATCTGCCCTGGGTGACAGTCTCGTGCTTGGGGAGGCCCTCGGAAACCTGCCACAGCCCTATTTCCAACGGGAAAGACACAGACGAGCCAGGCCAAGATGCGGCTGGGATGGTGCCTGTGCGCTCACAGCCCTGAGCAACACCTCACCCTCAGCTCGCCCAGCCTCTCCTGGCCACTCATTTCGGCTTTCTTCACTCTAGAGCAGGGGTGTCCGGGTTTTCAGCTTCCCTGGGCCACATCAGAAGAAGAATAATTGTCTTAGACTGCACATAAAATACACTAACACTAACGATAGCTGATGAGCTTAAAAAAAAACTCCCAGAATTCTCATAATGTTTTAAGAAAGTTTACGAATTTCTGCTGGGCCACATTCAAAGCCATTTCGGGCCTCATGTGGCCCATGGGTGGCGGATTGGACAAGCTTGCTCTAGATTCTCCTTAGGTAGAAGTAGGATTTCCTTCACCTCAAAGGACTGCAGACATTCAGCACAATAACCTTCCAACCTGCTAGCAAAGCCCTTTCTAGAAGGGGAGACAAGAATCCAAAAAGCACGCCAGAAAGAAGCCGAAAGTGAGGGACCTCGGACGTAATCACACCAGAACTCTGTGACGTTTTTAGCAAATAAGTCAAACAGGTAAAAGGATGGAATGCCAATAAGAAGAGAGTGGCCCCCTCCCTAGGCGCAGCCCACCTCCCTTTTAAAAATGTTTCCCTTTATGAATAAAAGCACAGGCATGGGAGATGAGGGCAGCCCCACGTATCAGGTAAACATCCTGATCATCTATTTGGTATGGGACTTGAAACAAATCACATTTTCGTGCTGATAACGTCAAATTGACCCCTTCCAGATATTGTTTTCCCTTTGGGGACTCTGTCCTGTATAAAGAATTTAGTAAATTACCTGGTTAATAGAGAGAACTAGCAACAAGGTAATCTTAGCGGTGTCATTTGTGTTTAGGAAAATAGTTTTTCCATTTAAAAGGCTTTAAACACATGTGTTTTCTCGTTTTGCCTCTACTGTGAGATAAATCTTCGCTTCAAGAATACACTAGATCACCAGATTCCCAAAAGAGAAGTGGGGGTGGGGGGTGCGCGGCGAGGGCAAGGGCTGGCTGAGAGCAATGAATTTGTATCAGAGAGCAGAATTATGTTATGTTTTCCTTGTAGATCTGAGCTCAAGATATGCCTTGGCTAGAGGCAGCTTAGCTGTGAATGACTGCACTAGCTTCTGCCAAGACCATCCTGAGTTTTCACTGTTTACATCTCCATGTGTGGACTTTACCCTCACCACACGATGGCAGATGGAAATCTGATAAAAACGAAGCAATGCATATAGATACATGCACATGTATTTATACATACACACATGTGTATATACACACAGGTGTGTGTGTGTGTATAGATATACCACAAAACAGGAGACCTTTATGTTTTGATGATGGGATTCAAGTGTTTCAACAACAAAATACAACCAGTGTTTTCCAAGTTGGACTCTGTAAAGTCCCAGAAATCCACAAGATTTTCATTCCTTATATTCATGTTGGACACTGTTACTGAAGAACCACGTTCCTTTTATCCTGGAGGAAAGAGGACGGGTCATGTGGCTGTACCTGCACCTCATCGCCCTTGGCCCAACCCCAGTTTAAAATGAGTGATATTGCAGTCTGCTAAGTGGCTTGTCTATGAAGTTCATCCCAAGTGGAAACAGCCCTCCATCGTGTTCAGTGAGGGATTATTCCAAACTTTAGATCTCATTAAACAGACAGAACGCCACAGTCACTTGTCCCTAATAAAAAATATGCAAATAAATCGAACTCCACCCTCCTGGTATGGTCCATTTTCTAAGAGGCCTTCTTCTGAACGTCAGCCCTCTAGCATTTCATTCAGGGCTGGGAAGCCGATGGCCGAATTTATTAATGAAGTTAATCGTGATAACCATCCTTCTCCTGGTAACTCCTGTGGATGAACACCACTTGATACCAGGCTGTAGAGAAGTGAGCTGGCGGTTCCTGGGAACCAGGCAGGAGGCACATACTCAGGTGAGCTGTGGCATGGGCTGTGCCCTGAGGAGGGACCACCCTTCTGCTGTGGCTCTCTGTTCTGAGGGCTAAAGCTGTGGGCGACAGACGCAGAGCCCGGCGCGTTGTCCCGGAAGCAGGGCCTTCAGGCACAGAGCCCGGCGCCCTGTCCCGGAAGCGGGGCCCTCAGGCGCAGAGCCCGGCGCCTTGTCCCGGAAGCGGGGCCCTCAGGCGCAGAGCCCGGCGCCTTGTCCCGGAAGCGGGGCCCTCAGGCGCAGAGCCCGGCGCCTTGTCCCGGAAGCGGGGCCCTCAGGCGCAGAGCCCGCCGCCTTGTCCCGGAAGCGGGGCCGTCAGGGCTGGAAGGGGCAGCAAGTGGCATTTTCCACAAATGGCTCCACTGACATTTCCTATTCTTTTGTATTTTGCTGTATGTTTTGGGTTGAGTTCTGTCTCCCAAAAAGATACATGGAATTCCTAACCCCCAGTAGCTGTGAATGAGAGCTTATTTGGAAATACGGTCCTGGTAGATGTCCTAATTCCAGTGTCTGGTGTCCTTATAAGAAGAAGGAAGTTTGAGCACAGCGACCTATGGGGAGCCGCAGTGTGAGGATGGAGGCGGACATTGCAGGGAGGCAGGGGCCGACAGGGAGCACGGTGGCGCCAGGAGCTGGAGGAGGCAGGAAGGACCCCGAGCCTCCACAGGGAGCACAGCTGCCCACACCTTGATCTCGGATATGTGGCCTCGGTGAAGGACCCCAATCTGTCACAGGGAGCATGGCTGCCCATACCTTGATCACGTGGCCTCCAGAATTAGGAGAGAACAAACACCTGTCGTTTTCAGCTCCAGTTTGTGGCACTTTGCTACAGCAGCCCGGGGACACTCCTACTGTCCAAAAGGATAAGCACATTTCAATCAAGCAGATCTGGGGCCTGAGCTTGAGTATCCATGGGAGAGCCAGACGGGAGACAGGGACGGGGGCAGAGGGCATGGGAGAGGGAGAGACGGAGAGAGAGAGAGAGAGAGAGAGAGAGAGAGAGAGAGAGAGAATGAGAGAGGGAGAGAGAGAAGGTGGGGAGGGAGAGAGGGGAGGCACAGAGACAGAAGCAGGGCTGAGGGGATTCAAGTGCTCAAACAGCCCAGGCGTATGGGTCACCTGGCACCTCTGGAGGAGGGACATGGCCCACAGATGTCACCGTTTTTAAGAGGGCCTGCCCTGATCTCGCCTATGTCAAGGGTGACTAGAAGAAGGACGAATCGGTCCTCTGTGTAGCTGTTTGCAAACGTGAAGAGGTGCGTAAGTCCCTAATAATGAAGTAATTGCCCAAACATCTGGTTAATGTGAACAAGTGCAAGCCAGGCAGGCAGGACGCGTGCCGCAAGGCTGTGCCCACAGAGCCAGGATGGCCATCTGCTGCACACCCCACACGCGGTTGCCCGCAGGACCTGATGGGGCCGCGGAGCCCACCTTGCTCCTTTCTCCCGGAGGGAACCTGCCCCCACAGCAGGGCAGAGAACAGCGCTGCGGGTGTGGGTTTGTAGAAGGGACAGAGCCGAGAGACCCTGGGGGTCCACAGGTGGCTTCCCAGCAGCGAAGATGAGGTCAGAGAGCACCTCTGAGCCGGCACAAAGGCCCCTCGCTGGCCCCGTAAGCCCGAGGCCAGCCTCGCGTGCGGGGGAGCTGGAGCACTCGGGTACGAGGAGGGCGGCGATGGCTCACTGTCCGTTTCCTTTCTAGTAATGACTTTTGCTCAGTTTAAAACTGTGTTTTAGTCCATTATGAGGCGTAAGTACATATTAGACTGAACCACGTGAAACTTATTTTTGTAGTTATCAGCCATTTTATATGGCTCAAGCTTATCTATGTTGCTCATGGATTTAAACGTAATGCAAAGCACTTATTAAATACGTGGGAATTGCAAACGTGAAATGGAGAAGGCAGGGAATTGCCAGGGAACGAGAGAGCAAACAGAAAACTCATGTCTGCAATGCTGAAGAACAAGGGGTTCCGGGCTGGCAGGAACCTTCTCCAGGGATGGGAGCCTGGGAGCCTCCTACCCGATTGTGCCCAGAGTCCCTGTCGCTGCACATTCACTTCAAACAAAGATCGTGCAAAGGAGAAACCCTCGTCCTGTGTGCTCAGTCCCACCCCAGGTCAAAGGCTGCCTAAAGCCTTTCCACCGCCTCCACAGGGGAACAGCTGCTGAAGCCAGATGGGGAGCGACCTTCACATGTAAAGCAGCTCCCCACACCTCCCCAGCTCCACAGGGCAGACGTGCATGCGTGCACACGGGCAAACACACACAGAAGTGTACATACGTGCACTCACAAAAACACAGGCACACACAACACACAGATATGCACATGTACACAAACACACCGATGTGTGCACACACAGAAACACACATGCATAGGCACAAACACAGGTGTGTGCACACCTGCACAAACAGAAACACAGACACACACATCATACACAGACATGTCCACAGACACACACACAGGGGCACACGCACAGACATGTACATGCAGGCACACACAGTCATACCTTAACACACAGACATGCATGTGCACACATGCAGAGATGCACAGACACATGCAGACGTGTGCACACATATGCGTGCACACACACAGAGACGGGCACAGGTGTCCCTAACCTGTCAGTTCTTCCTGGATGGTGGGCTGCGTCCAAGCAAGCTGAGAATTTTCCACGTTGACTGGAACACTCGGCTAAAATGCCTTGGCTTCTCAGGTCATGGGTAAGGGTCATTGACAACTCTATTTGCCCACTTTATTCAAACCAGAGGACAAGGAAAACTACTGGATGAACACGGTTGTCTTGGGAAGAGACCTGCAGGAAGCTGCCCCAGCAGAGGTAAGCCCGGTACTAACAGCTTGATTCTCATAAAAAGGTGGCAATAATCGTGAAAGTGTGAGAAGGAATGTGGCGTTATCCATTTAATCCCAGAACTGAGGCTGGGAGTTGTCTCACAGTGACGTGGGCCAGGCCTCTCCCCAGCAAGGGCGATTAAAGTGAAACCACTTAGGACATTTGGTCTATTTCAGATCCCTGCCGGTAACCTTTTCCTTCTTTTCACCAACTCTTTTCAAACTTAGGTTTTTTTTTCCCTTCTGTCTTTGTATTTTCCCGTAACATAGCCCTCGGGGATGTTTACTTAGATTTCCCTGTTGGGGTTCATGCACTGCCCTGGTCTGTGCCATGATCTTGTTTTTGAAGGGACTCTTGCAACTTCCCAACCCAATGACAAGCACTCAATAGGCATCAAATGGTTGCTCGTCCATGAAGACATGAGGTTCTCTTTCTCTTCCAAATCGGGGGAAATAATCATGAGGAATAGCTCATGACACGACACACTATTTCATTTTTGTTCAGCCTGAGGGTCCGCCCTGGAAGATCCTCTTTACAACATAAACAATGTGATGACCATGGAATTCAGCAGCCAACTTTGACGGTGGCCATGACTGACGGGCACAGACATTTCTCTGTTCCTTCTCAGCAGGCCACGGGTTTCAGTAACGCCAGAGGCTGAGAGAGGAATTGGTCGACGGAGGTAAGCACACATCTATTGAGCACCTACTCTGTGCACAGCCCTTCGGGGATACAGAAAGGTCAAGGGCAGAGCCTCCCCTCTCTAAGGACTTCCACTACCAGGCAGAAATCGTCACATACGAGGAAAGCTTGACTGCAAAACATCAATTCATCCAGCAACCACTCACCATCCACTGGTAAGGCCATGTCCTTCCATTCTGGCCAGAGTTCCGCATCTGTGCCTCAGTGCTGGGGCTGATCTGACAGCCTGTGTCGCACACACACAGGTTGGGGGAGAGATAGTTGAGACCAAAACGTTTGTGAGATCAAAGCCATTGAGATGCTGTCACACGTTCCCAGGGGCACGGACAGGGAACTCACAGTCACTCCCGGAGGGAAGCGAGTACCAGCTTGAAGCAGCGTGGTGTGGGGAGGTCCTCCTGCCTGGGTGCTGCTGAGGCAGAGAAGGAGGAGGCTGTTCTCACTGAAGGCGCCTGCACATCTCCTCAGCAGAGACGGGGTACAGACGGGCTTTGGAGAAGGGTGGTCCCTCCGCAGGATGCGTGGGAGAGGGAGGATGCCCGGTAACAAACAGAGCTCCTGGCAAGGGTGGGCTGCGGCCCAGCCCAGAAGAGCTCCTCCTCCCTCCAGGAACCTGGATCTTGTCGCCCCGGGAGAACATGTTCCCTGCCTTCATCCCACGGAGCAGGCTTCGTGCAGAAGCTCATCCTGTTCACAGCTCTAACTACCAAAGGCTGGGAATCTACAAGCTGAATCTTCAACCCAAACTCACCTCCTGAATGCCCATCACTGTTGCCTTCTGTCACCGGCCTTCGGACACCCCAGGAGCACCTCAGACGCACCCGAGCACAAACTCCATGTCTCTCCTGTGAAGTTTCTCAGAGCCCCTGCCGTGGCCAATGCTCCTGGCCACTCCACTGTGAAATCCACAGCATCTGTCACTCTTCTGCTCCCTCCTGCTCTTGTCTCCAAACCCAACTAACCCAGCCACCTGCAAATCTCTCCCGCCCTCCCGGCCACCCCAAGCAGCCACTGGGGACCATCCTCAACCTCCCCATCCAGTCTTTTCCCTGGGCCCGAAGCATGTTCCTAAAATGCAGACACGTCACATCACTCCAGTTCAAAACCTTTCAGTAGCATTTGTTAATGGCCACTCATTTATTCCACAAAAAATTACTTAATCTTGGGCTGGGCATGGTGGCTTATACCTGTAATGCCAGCACTTTGGGAGGCTGAGGAGGGAGGATAGCTTGAGGCCAGGAATATGTGACCAGCCTGGACAACAAAGTGAGACCCCATCTCTATGAGAAATTAAAAAACTAGCCAGGCGCACTGGTGAATGCCTGTAGTCCCAGTTATTCCAGATGCTGAGGCAGAAGGATTGCTTAAGCCCAGGAAGTTGAAGCTGCAGTGAGCTGTGATTCTGCATTCTAGCCTGGAGGACAGAGCCAGGTCCTGTCTCTAATAAATAAATAAATTACATAATCTTAGGCACCAGTCACTCCAGGAGGCACAGAAAATACACTATCATCTCTGCCATATTGGATTTATCATCTAGCACAGAGGAAAACACTAGGTGGTTGGTCCAACCCAGACAAGGACCTATGGCCACACTTCCAGCTCCCGGAGGACGATGCCAGCAGCGTTGTGGGTGGAGACGCCTTCCCAGCTGCCGGGCCGCACAGCTGCAGAGCCAAGGCTCCAATGCAGAGCTTTCTGAGTTGAAAGTCTTTGTTGTCATCTCACCTCATAGAAATAATAGCTCAATTATCACTCTAAGCCACACCATAATACACTTCCATTAAAAAATCAAAATCAGTGATACATTTAAAATGACGCTTTCAGCTGGCGTTTCAATACAGACAGAGATGAAAGCGGGAAACGGCTTTCAGTTTCTGAAACCTGAGAACAGTTCCACAGTGAACATCTCATTGGGTGTCTTAGAGACACCCCAATAATGTGGGCTGAAAATGTTAATGAATTGAGCCTCTGTTTTCCTAAAGTATTCGTTTAGTAAATCCCCCCTTGGTAAAAAGAAAAATATCGCACCTGTCATAACCTGTTTCCATAATTTAATTTCACTCTCAATTCACTTGCCTCTGCACCTGAGTGAAAGGCTCCTGGGTTATTAACAGATTTCATAATTGCAGTGTTTGTCGCACAGGACACTTAGGGCAGCTCCTCCAGAGAGCGTCGAGGATGTGGCCTGACACTGGCTCCCACAGGCGTTTGTGTGATGGATGTGGGTACTGATAGAGAAGGGGGTGGTACAGACACTGATGAAAGTGTGTGGAGGTGATCTAAGTTCAGACAGGACGTGGATATGCAGGTGGCACGTGGTGTGGGTGTGGACGTGGGCATCTGTGTGGGTGTGGCTGCAGACACGGGCCGGTGATGCAGATGTGGGTGTGCGTTGGGGTGAGGCTGCGGACACAGACAGGTGCAGATGTAGGCCGAGGTGATGTGGACAGACACAGGTAGATAGATGCAGACGCACAGTGGCAAACCCCAACTGTAAGTTTGGGAAGAGCTGCTCCCCATTGCCACTGTTTGGCAGGGAGCATTGGGCACTCACGTTCCCTCCACAATGTGCAGCCACAGACACACTTGTGTCTGCAACATGAAAGCCGAGCCCACCTTCCCTGTGTGTGCCTCAAAGCTAGTGGGGTCGGGAGGATGTCCTGAGGCTTGCTGGGTGGATTCTATTGATAAAGGGAGTCCTGGTGGCCCAGGGGTGTTTTCTAGAGCAGTGGAAGGCTCGAGGGGACGCAGGTGACATGGCCATCTCTCCTCTGCTGTCTTCATCTTGACAAAGAGCAGAACAGTTTCCAGGAATCCCCTTTATATTCACAAATTTTCAGAGAGTCTGGGGGTGGGGGATGAGAGAAAACCAGACAACTCCAGCACCCAAGATCTGCAGAAGGAGGGGGCGGAAGCACCCAGCCCAAGGCCGCGTCCACAGGTGGCTGAGCTCGGTCTCCCCAGAACACCCGCGGCGTCCTCGTGGCTCTTCTTCCCGGGCCGTGTCCTTCCATTCTGGCTGGAGTTCAGCATCTGTGCCTGGGTGCTGGGCTGATCTGACAGCCTGTGTCCCACACACACAGGTTAGCGGGAGAGATAGATGCACATACAAACATACACAGAAACACACATGCACAGGGAGATAGACACACACGGATATGCACACAAACACACAGATACACAGATACAGACACACAGATACATGCACACAGAAGCAGACAGACACACAGATACTCAGATAGATACACATACTCGTAGATACACACATGCACACAGATAAACACACAGATACACATGTGCACACAGAAATACACACAGATACACACATGAACACACGGAGATAATTATATACACAGATACATCTACATGCACACACACAGATACATACACACAAGCACACAGGGATAGACACAGATACACACACAGATACACGAGCACAAACAGATACACAAAAATATAGGCACAGATACACATACACACAGGTACCTATGTGTACATACAGAAACACACACTTGCACGTAGAGACAGACACACACACAAACACAGGGATACACACATGCAGATATATACACAGAGACACACACAGAGATATGCACACAATCACACAGATACACACATAACCACACATAAATACACACATTTAGCAGCCTCTCAAAACAATATGAAATATCTGTTACTACCATCTCTGAACTTGTAGGGTCACAGTAAATACAAAGAATGCATACAGTTGAAGTAGATATTTTTCTTTTGCAACTGAAAAACTTTTTGAATATCATAGTTTCCTCCAAACAAGATGTTATTTTAAATGAAATGGAATCACAACAACATCTATTGTACCCTCGTCCCACTTCTCTCTCTCGTAAGAATAATGGATAATCATCAAACCAAGTTAATCATTGCTTTGAAGAGTATCCTCTTAGGTAGATGAGATAGATAGATGGATAGATCAACAGATAGATGATAGATAGATAGATTGATAGATTATTGATAGATGATAGATAGATGATAGATGATTGATAAGTGATTGATAGATGATAGATAGATGATAGATGATAGATAGATGATAGATGATTGATAAGTGATTGATAGATGATAGATAGATGATTGATTGATAGACATAGACTGACTCGTGATAATAGCAGTAAATCCTCCTGCGCACTAAAGTGACTTATAATCTATAAAATGCCAAAGTTCTATAAAGCACTCAGGCAAAGAGAAATTCAAATGACAAACCAGTTTATTTTGAGCTGCACCTACCTTTTCCAGGCATATTCCAGTAAAAAGTTAATTTGACAGTGGTATGAAAAACAGAAGAGAAATTGGCAAACAGCATGAGTAATGGATAACAAGTTGCAAGTTAAATACCAAACAGATAAGCACCATGAAAGAGAGGCAGAATATATCAAAATTTGTTGTGGCTCTAGGGATCGGCTAAATTTGCTGTGCTGTATAAAACACTGCTATTAACACGTCATTGCGAGAGTTCCTCTTTGAGGAGATGACTTTGGTGAATGCGGATGTTTTTCAGCACAACTGTTCAAGCACAGAAGAAGCCTAGGAGCACAGAATGCAATTTAGTCGCCAGTCCCAACAAGCAATCCCCCACCGTAATGACTCCGAAGTTTTGGAAATCGGCTGAAGTGTTTTAACTTACAGTGCTGCGCCGAGTTTGCAGACAGGACAACCTGTTGGTCCCTGGGTTTCCCTGGATAAGAAAACAGGAGCTATTTCTCTTAATTAAATCTAGAGCGAACTAGAAGGAGCAGGTCACCTGATGGGAAATACACTCCTCTTCATGTATAAGAAGTTAGTTATGGTGACTAGTGGTGGTTTCACCTTGTTTTTCTCAGTTCTTCTTTTTTTAAGCCTTCAACTTTGGTTTTAATGCCAAAAAAAACAAAAAATTGACCAAAGTTTGGCTGCATCCCAAAACAAATGAGAAGCTATTTTCTTGGAGGACATGCTCAGATATTTACAGGACTGAATTCTTTCAAGATATTTATCTTGCTGAACAGACTTAAAAATGCAAAAAATTATAAATAAATGAAGAAAGAAGACTACATTCTCTGACAATGGACAGGAACACTGGAGCTCAGATTTTCAACAATAGATGAGGTGAATAATCAGAAATATTACATAAATAGGATTAGATATTTATTTCACATTTATTTCTAGAAGTAGCAGAGTAAACAGAAAAAAAATGTTTCGTCTTTCTTGACCTAATTATCAAAATATCAAAACGTAGCTCATACCCACGTTTCGGGATTGTTCTCAGGGTTAATGAAATAGCACGTGCTAATCCTCAAGATTAGTAGCTGATGTGGGGCGGGCGACAATACATGAAATCTCTAAGACTCTCAAATATAGACTACTTAATAAAGAACTGGACGGGGTCCAGGAGAGCCGAGGGTTTCCTAGAGATGGTAAGTGGTAAACTGTGTGGCTTACTGGAAACTAAGTTTCTTCCTCAGTGTAATGATGTATGAACTTTTTCAGCATCGAGGAAATATTACTGAGACTCATTTAGGACCATGTGGGAGCTGCCCCGGGTAGTTGGACCACTTGAGACTTAACAACTAATCCATTCACCTTTGCTCTGGACAAAGGTTTTGAGTTAATCCTAAGAAAATAAATCATTTATGAATATATAGAATACTGACTAATGAAATCTATCTCACCTGCGTCTCCCCAGGTAGGAGCCAGGCAAAGAGGGCCACATCCACGCATCTGCGTTCTCGTCTGTATTCAGAGCTGCAGCTGGATAGGCTCCTAGAAGCCACTGATTTTATTTTCCTGGGTTTATGTTCCTCAAACCTTTCACACAGAAATCAGCTACGAAGAAAGCCTCTCCTTGGAGCTGTGAGAATTCCTGAAATATTTCATAATCTTTGCCATCAAAACCTTGTGTGTACTTTCCAGCTAAAAGGGAGAAGGTCTTTCCCAGCAAACAGCTCCACGCTCCAGAGCCCTCTTGTGACCATCGTCACCAATCTGACCATACAGACAAGCTCCGGGACACCTCAGCCCGGAAAAATCCAAGCTCTAAATTAAGGCAGTGACGTTTATTCTCTTTCTAAAACTCATTCATGTTCTTAGTAACTATGTCTCCAGCACAGACCTCCATTTTAAACTGAACACACTAACACCATCAGCCTTCATTCCTCCTGGGCTGCCACCCCAAATCTCCTGGCAAATGTAAATTTTTCCCTGTTTTTCCACTGCTGTTCCCTGTTCTTCCTTTTCCTGACACGTATCAGGAGATGATGTCTGCAGAGTGGAAACAAGTCTGGATTTCAATGTGTGCAGTAAAGGCCGACTAGGCAGCGTGCACTGCTCCCTGTGGCTCTGAGCAGAGGCTCTGCACTAAGGTCCCAGAATTCAGCTCTGGGACTGCAGCCCTGCCTTAGTCATAGCGAAGTCCCAGGAGACAGCCTGAACCCCGTGCTGGACCCTAGAGACCCTGGCCCTCAGTGGGGCAGTGCAGGCAGGACTGCAGCAGCGCACGGAAGGACAGTGGTCCAGGTTCAGCCAGGAGTCGCGACTCCAAGGCCGGCCACACGGTGTCCAGCCCAGGCCCCTCCACGCCCACCACTGTCGCCTGCCTGTGTGGCCCCGCCTGGCTTCAGCACTCCTGCCTGCTCCCCACAGCTCCCACTCCTCAGGCATCCTCTATGCGGGCTGGGCTTAATCTTTTTAATTGTTAAAGGTCTTTAACTATGTAACAGGATTCATTATCCACTGTGTCTGTCAAAATGCTATTTAATAAGTTGCTTTTTTTATTAACCCCGACTGAAAACAAAACAAAACAGGGTTTTTTGTTTGTTTGTTTGCTTTGTTTGTTTTTTGTTTTTGTTTTTATCACCAGCTGCTGGAGGCAGAGCCAGAGTGTCTCTGGATGGTTTCTGCTAACACGCTGTGAGAAAGAAAAGGTGTGTCTCCCAGGTCTGGCAGCCCAGCGTCCACATCTCCTGTGACCCCTCCGGCCGTGGGGTACTGCCTCCCCATAACCCAAAGCCGTGTCTGAAAGAGAAGAGCCACTCTGATCCCTAGTGTGGCTCTTCCACATGGGCCTGCCCAGGGTGGCCATTCCATACATGACTCTGGAGGGCAGGTGATGACAGCCTGATACGAGCTGACACCAGAGAAAGGCAAACCGTTCTCCGGGCTGAGGCTCCCTCCTTGTAGAATGCCGCCCACCAGCTGCCCTGCCCGTGGGAAGAAGCGCCACGGCAGGTGGGCTTCAGGGTTAGGTGGAGATGATGCTGTTGATACAGAACATGTTTCTTATATTCTACAGATTTTTAACCATTTTATTCCTGAGTACAAAAAACAAAAGCCACTCAAAAGAAACGACAGTTGACATAATATTCGGGTAAAGCATGTTTACAGAAAAGGCCCAAAGAAGTGAACAGTAGTAGGCCAAATATATACTTTCTGGATTTGCTTTAAGTGGAAAAAGAGATACAGATTCAACCTCATTGAGTTGATCTGACCACACCTCTCTGCTAACGTTCGTGTACAGAAGCTGCAGGCAGGACATGACGTCACCACTTTCCAATAACATATTCCTGCAGCCACAGTCAGAAGAGGTCCCGGCTCCACCCTTCTCAGAATAACGGGTTGTTCAGCCGCAACCTTGTTTGTCAAAAATGACAGCCTCTTTTATTAACATGGAAAATTACCTGCTTCTTCTCCCCATTCCCTTCCACTTGACTTTTTTTTTTTTCTTTGAAAAGCAGAGATAAATCCCAGTAGCACAATTAAAGCGCTAGCTAAATATTACTTTGTTGGGCTTAACGATAGATTACAATGTGTGCATAATGACCCAGTTCCAGTAATATCATCTGATTTAGTAAGGAAATGAGAGACTGCCATATGTTCACCAATAAGGTCTCCGAAGCTCTCCTTCTTGTTCTGCCGGCGAGGGTGCTGTGGGGTCCTGCAGCCTCACTGCTGCTGAACACCAAGCTCACCAGAGCCTGCACCAGGACACACATTTCCTCAGGCCAGGGCAGGAGACGAGCTGACAGCCCGTGGCCTCCTGATTGAAGTCCCTTCACGGTTAGGAGTGGATGCCTGCTGCTTCTGAGCATTGTTCACTAAACTGGAGGCTCCCAGAACAGAGGGATCTGGGGAAAAAGGAAACGAAGGAGGCATATTAAAGTTGAACACAGAACTAAAGAAACTCCAGCTCCAAAAATGAATGAGGTCGCTCCTTCAAACGCACACAATGCGACATAGCTGACAAGGCAGTCTTTTTCATTTTTAAACAAAAATTTCAATCTTGATGGCAGAAAGTTCAATCCAGAGTAGATAAATGGAAATCCCCTTACTAAGACATAACCCCAGTCTTAGCTACGTTAGGGAATTTAATAAGACAAACTGCTGATCCGTTGAAGTCAGTACTAATGAGGGAATAAGAACATTATTTGCTTCGTCAAATATTTTCAATAATATTATGCCATAATTTATTCACTTATTTAGCAAAAATTAAAACGACCCTTGGTTCCCACAAAAATGGAAACGTGTATACGATGTACTATTCTTTGTCTAAGAAAAAGGCCACGTGTTGATAAATGTTTACGTTAATAAAACAACAAATGGAAGAATGAGCCACAAAATAAGAATAGGAATCATTATTTAAAAGGTGTGTAAGAGAACAGTGGCTATACAGCTGGTATTTTTGTCTTCACTTTGAAACTTTGTGAACATTTCCTATGATTATAGAATGAACTTTGATTTAAAACTCAAATCTCAAACTACTTAAAAAAAAATCAAATAACACCAAGACTAGAAGTGCTGACCTGACAGCTGACCCACCACACTCGGCAGGTGTCTACCTTGACCAAACTGTGCTGCCTACGAGGAAGAGGAATGCACTCAGAAAGAGGGAAAATACAGAAATTCTCAGCAGAGAACTAGAAACTGCAAAAAGGGAACCAATAGAGATTTTAAAACTGAAAAATAAATACCTGAAATAAAAACTCACTCCAAAGCAGCTCCAGCGCAGCCCGTCGATGATGGGGAGGCTGTGCCTGTGTGGAGGGGGGTGCGTGGGAGCCCTCTGTGTCTTCTGCTCAGATTGGCTATGAAACTAAAACTATTCTAAAAATAAAGTCCATTCCAGGACATTGGACTGGCAAAGATTTCGTGAGTGACACCCCAAAAGCACAGGCGACCAAAGCGAAAATGGACAAAAGGGATCCCATCTTGTTAAACAGCTTCTGCACAGCAAAGGAGACAATCAAGAGAGTGAAGAGACAACCCACAGAATGGGGGAAAATATGTGCAAACTATTCATCTGACCAGGAATTCATAACTGGAATATATTAGGAGCTCAAACAAATCTGGTACAAAATCTAATAATCCAATTAAAGGTCTGCATAGACATTTCTCAAAAGGAGACACACAGATGGCAAACAGGCATATGAAAAGGTGCTCAACATTACTGATCATCAGAGAAATGCAAATCAAAACTACAAAGAGACATCATCTCACCCCAGTTGAAATAACTTTTATCCGAAAGACAGGTAATAACAAATGCTGGCGATGATATAGAGAAAAGGGAACCCTCATACACTGTTGGTGAGAATGTAAATTAGTACAACCATTATGGAGAGCATATGGAAGTTGCTCAAAAAACTAAAACTAGAGCTACCGTGCGATCTGGCAATCCCATTGCTGAGTAGGTCCCCAAAAGAAAGGAAGAGAGATCTGCTCTCCATGTTCCCTGCAGCACAATTTACAGTAGCCAAGACTGAGAATCAACTTAAGCATCCATCAGCAGATGAATGGATAAAGACAATGTGGTACATGTACACAATGGAGTACTATTCAGCCATCAGAAAAGAATGGGATTCTGTCATTGGCAATAACATGGATGGAACGGGAGGTCATTCTGTTAATGAAATGAGCCAGGCACAGAAAGACAAATTTCACATGTTCTCACTCATTTTTGGGAGCTAAAGACTAAAACAATTGAACTCATGGAGATGGAGGTAGAAGGATGGTTACCAGAGGCTGGGAAGCGTAGTTGAGGGGGAGTGTGCATGGTTAATGGATACAAAAAAAAATAGAGTGAATAAGATATAGTATTTGACTACAATCAACAATAATTTATTGAACAGTTTAAAATAAGCATAATTGGAATGTATGTAACACAAAGAAATGATAGATGCTTTAGGGGATGGAGACCCCATTTATCCTGATGTGATTATGACGCATTGTATGCCTGTATACAAATATCTCATGTACCCTCATAAATATATATGTATGTTTATATATATGTTTTCATATATATATTTTACATAGAGAGAGCTACTCTCTATATACGATATATTTATGTATTTATTATATATATGAGGGGGTTACTTGAGAGATTTTGATACAGGCATACATACAATGTGTAATAATCATATCAGAGTAAATGGGGTATTTATCCCCTCAAGCATTTGTATATATTTTAATATAAATTATATATATTTGTATATAATAAATTTACGTATCATGTATTTTACATATACTTTTATATATGATATATATTACACGTATTTTATATATTATTTATATTTTTTCCTTAGGAAAAAATCCCATATTTACCCATAAAAATAAAAACTTGAAATAATGCACCTAACAGACTCAACAGCAGAATGAAGAGGACACAGAGAAGAACCGGAGCCTCAAGCACAGATGAATAAGCACCACCCATGGAAAAGGAGCAAGGAAACAACAGTGAACGGGGCTCAGAGGCCTGTGGGGTGATCGGGAAAGACCAGACTGGCCGCTGGAGTCCAGGAGACAAGAGTGATCGGGACACGGAATCGTGCTGGAGGAAATGACACGAGAAAGCGTGTCAAATCCGGCAGAAAACATGAGCTTGCAGATTCAAAAGTCTCCAAAAACTAAACAGGATCAGAGCAGAGAACATGGCCCGAGGCATTGGAATCAAAATTCTGAAAGCCTAAGTTTCTGAACCTAGCCTGAAAGCCCAATTTTCTAAGATAAAACTATGAATAGTTTTAAAACAGAGAAAAATGTAAAATTATGTAGAGGGGAACAGTGATGTGAATCACCAAGCATTTCTCATCAGAAACCACACAGTCCAGAAGGAAGTGGATCCAAACCTTAAAATGAAAAAACAAAAAAGTAACAATCCTGTACAGATAAAATACAATCCAAATAAAATAGCAATGTAAATTGACAGTTGATTCTGAAATGTATATGGAAATGTCAACAATCTAGAATAATCAAGGCACTTTTAAAAGAAAATAAATGAGCTGGAAGATGTATTGTACCTTACTTCAGGTCTTAACAATTCTGCTATATTAATCAAGGTAGTTTGTTTTGGTATCGGTGGAAAGATAGAGAAATAGATGAACGGAACAGAAAGGAATCCAGAAACAGGGCCCCACACACATGGTCAACTGAATTGCAATTAAAGTGCCCAAGAAACCCGCTGGAAAACGCATAACCTTTTCATTAAATGGTGTTGATCAGCTGGATATCCTATGAAAAGATGAGCTTTAACTGTTACCTCGCATCACATGCAAAATTTAATGCAAAATGAGTCACAGACCTAAATGTAAAACCTAAAACTCAACAAGGACTCTGCAGAAAAAGTATTCATGAAAATCAGGTAGTTTTAGGTTTCTTAAACAGAATGCAAAGAGCTCAAATTATAAAAGAAAAAAATGGATAAACTAAGCTTTATGAAATTTAAAAACTTTTGCTCTTTGAAAGACACCACTGAGAAAATGAAAAACAAGACACAGACTAGAAGACCATGTTTACAACACATACACTAGATGAAGAAATTGTATCTAGGATATATAAACTACTTTTATAACTCAATAATGAGAACACTAACAACCCACTAAACGTTGCACAACGATTTGAGCAGACACATCGTATGGAAGGATGGTCAGCTCCACCAGCCGTCAGGGGAGTGTAAGCTAAACCACAGCAAGGTGACGCTGGGCCCATTCACTCTGCTAGAGTGAGGAAGATTGACCACAGGCATGTAGGTGAGGATGTGGAGCCCCTGGAACTCTAATGCATGGATGGCTTGAACCATGGACAGGTCATTTCGGAAATCAGTTCAGCAGCTTTTTTTTTAAAGTTAAACATTTGCCCAATGATAAGAGCCAGACCTTTACTCCTAAGAGAAACAAAAACCTCTGTCCATGCAAAGAGTAGTATGTAGATGTCCACGACATTTAATTCATAACAGCCAAATACCAGAAATAATCCAAATGCCCCTCCACAGAGGTCGGGGCTGTAGTGAGCCGTGATGGCACCACCATACTCCAGCCTGGGTGACAGAGTGAGATCCCATCTCAAAAAATAATCAGAATAAAGGAAATTCTTTAGTCAGAATCACTGAAATAATAACTTCCTCAAATCTACCCCCTCCCCTGTGGAGGGACTTATTTCTGGGAATACCAATCCACCTGCCCTCCTGGAGTTGCACTTTCAGTTGTATATGGATGCTTCAGACTATATGACTTTCACAAATAAACCAAGGCAATTATGCATTGTGGTACATGCTCAGAAAGTTCTACAAATACTCAATCTTGAACATTATGATAAATTCTGACAACATCACTGCTCCCTGTGGGTTATTTTCCTGTGGCTGCCCAACGTGGCTGTCTTTTCCAAGTGCAGATGGATGCCACCCCCTTATCCCTGTCCCCTCTCCTGTCTGATCTTCAGTTTGGCCAGTTGAGAAGATGTGTTCTGTCCCTTTAAAGGGACTGGCTGGGCACGGTGGCTCACACCTGTAATCCCAGCATTTTGGGAGGCCAATGCGGGTGAATCACCTGAGATCAAGAATTCGAGAGCAGCCTGTCCAACATGGTGAAACCCTGTCTCTACTAAAAATACAAAACTTAGCCAGGTGTAGTAGCGCGCCTGTAATTTCAGCTAGTCAGGAGGCTGAGGCAGGTGAGTTGCTTGAACCTGGGAGGTGGAGGTTGCAGTGAGCCGAGGTCGCACCACTGCACTCCAGCCCAGGTGACAGAGTGAGATTCTGTCCAAAAAAAAAACAAAAAAAAAAAAAAACGGGGACTGCCTGTGTCTTGCAGTGACTAACACAGAATAAAATTGTCAGGCCACTCCCAGTCAGGGCAGCCCCCCACACAGCTGTGTCTCCTTCATCTGGAAATCCTAGTCATGGAAAGCCAGCCACATAGGGTACCCCAAGGAATGCACCTCTAAGACCCTTGAGGGAGTAATCTGTCTTTGCACCTTTGAGAAATGACAGCCACATTGGGCAGCCACAGAAAAAATAATCAACAGGTAGCGATGTTGTCAGAATTTATTATAATGCTCAAGATCTAGTATTGCAGAACATTTTTTAGAGTACATCACAATGCATAATTTCTTTGGTTAATTTGTAAAAGTCATATAGTCTTATGTGCCCGCATGCGAAAGCTAACTGATAAACATGTTGGCTTCGTGTGTGGATACTGTTTCCACTCTGTGAAACCCAGAGAATAAGTGATTTCAACACTGCTGAATTCCAGAGACCCCTGTTGCCTCTAGAGCTGGGCACCTGTGCAAGTTACGCTCAATCACCGGCTCTCATATGCTGGAAAATACCCGTGGCCGATTGGCTCACACTGAGAATTCTCACAATGTAGGATGCGCCCAAGCAGCATCGTTAGACTCTGGATATTCCAGAACAAGATTTCTGGAACTGTCTCCTCCTCCTGGGAAGGGCAGGGTGGGTGGGGGATTTGCTTGCTGGCCCTATGCCTCATTGAGCCGCCTGTGCCATAGGCAGGGCCAGAGGGGAAGGGGGCCTCTGCATTTTCCTTGAGCCACCTGCATTTCTGGTTCAGTGTTGACTGCTGCAGACTCAGAAGGAAGAGCAAAAGAGCAAAGCCTTGAAGATTATTGCTGATACATGAAGGGCTTTTTTTTTTTTTTAAGACAGAGTCTCACTCTGTCGCCCAGGCTAGAGTGCAGTGGCACAATCCTGGCTCACTGCAACCTCCTCCCCCTGGGTTCAAGAGATCCTCCTGCCTCAGCCTCCCAAGATGCTGGGATTACAGGTGCCCACCACCACACCTGGCTAATTTTATATTTTTAGTAGAGACAGGGTTTCACCATGTTGGCCAGGCTGCTCTCGAACTCCTGACCTCAGGTGATCCACCCTCCTCGGCCTCCCAAAGTGCTGGGATTACAGGCGTGAGCCACCGTGCCCGGCCCTGGGGGCTTTTAAATGCATGAAGAGGCACCATCACTGAAGCCATTTCCTGATTCTTCTCACCCACAGCCTCTCGGCTTTGGAAGTCTCTCCTGGGAGTGGCTGTGATGTGCCCTGACTCTGTTCCCATCACTAATTTTGCTCTTCCAATCATCATTTCAGCTCGTGAATATTCAAATAGAAGCTGGGTTTGGCTTTCTTTATAAAAATTTTGTGGTAGTGAAATGAGTACATTTGTAGTATATTCCTATTTCTTACAGTAACTATTGTATAGGGTCATGTTTGATCTAAGAATGAAAAGAAAAAGTCCTTTTCTGATTCTTGCAATAATTCTTTTGTAGCATAAGATCAAATATCCCCCTACAAAAATACTTACCACAAGAAACAGAGCACTTTAAAATTTGTAAGTCATTTTTCTGGTGAGATCGATAAGCTCAGTCATCTAAAAATAGAGTGGGAAGTCAAGAAGAGGAAGAAACCTTGAGAATTTGAAGCCTGCATTGCTGCATTTAAAACAACAGAATCAGCTATCGACTACGTCAGTAAAATATAAAGAACAAGAATCTCTCCCATCCATGAAAGCAAAAGATAGATTAAAATTACAGCTGAGAGGTAGATGGACTTTGAAATTAATGTCCACATAATAGAACTTAAAGAGGCAAAAGTACATAGAGAAAATAACCAAGAAAATAATTTTAAAACCTTAACTTCCCGTGGGATCTAAACTGTGTCCCCCAACTTTGTTATAAATGTACACTAAATTCAAATTTTAGTTGTTATGTTGAAGCCATAACCCCCAGTGCCTCTGAATGTGTCTGTGTTTGGAGATAGGGCCTTTCTAAAGAGGTAATTAAGGTAAAATGAGGTCACAGGGTGGGCTCTGACCCAGTCTGGCTGGTGTCTTCATGAGAAGACCGGACATACACAGGGGAAACGCCATGTGCAGCCATGGTGGGGAGACGGCTTTCACCCACAGAGAGGCCTCCGAAGAAACCGGCCTGCTGGCACCTTGATCTTGGACTCCCAGCCTCTAGAACTATGAGAAATAGTTCCTGCTGTTTAAGCTAGGAAGGCTGTTGTATTTCCTTACGGCAGCCCAGCAAACTGATGCCCTTTACCAGATTGAAAATTGCTCTTCCATCTGCAAATCAAAAGACAACACCACGTTCAAGAACAGTGTAAGAATGCAGGGGCTTCCACCCAGAAAGAGCCCACCAAGGGCAGAGTGGAGGGAAAACAATGCCAGCCTTTAGGCAGGGAGGAAGGTGACCCGCAAACAGATCTCATGCTTTTACCACACTCATGCTTTTTGCCAGGCACTAGGGTTCAAGAAGGAACAATCTGTAGGCTTTTGAGAGGAAAATATATTCATCCAAGTTGGCCATCCTTCAGGTGGTAGAAAAAAGCCACAACAGAAGGAGAGAAAGGGAAGGAGGGAGGGAGGGAGGGAAGCAGGGAAAGAAGGAAAGGAAGGGAGGGAAGGAAGGAGGGAAGGAGCAGGCATCACAGAGAAGCAGATGCTCATAAACCACTCTTCCTACGCTGCAAAAGTAGATAAAGGTAAATAAATAAAAACCTCAAGAATGGCGGATTCACAGCATAATAGAAGTAACTGTAAGGAAAGAAACCACTAAAAGTGAGATAAATCCAAACAATTGTAGTATAGCATGAAATTTAATTAAAAGAAGATGATTAAAGAAAAAAGGTACAATAATTTAAAGTAAATAACTGAATAGTAATCTGGTTCTAAAATCCAAGATTGTGTCAATACACACTAATAATAAGAACAAGAATTAGAGATATTTCTAACTATAAATGTACAAAATAAGTATATTAATTTCTTTTTAAAAAGTTTCATAACAGGAGCAATTTAAGTTTAAATCTTTTTAAGACATACAGATTAACACTTCTAGGATAAAAACAGATTGTAATTTTTCATTTGCAAGGAAGAAAAATATCAAAAACCCTATAGGTTATACAGAAAAGTAGCTAAAGTAAAAGAATAAATAAGTGTAAAACAAGAAAACAGAAGTTAAAACAAGCTATATTAACAAACAATATTAAAAAGTGAATAGGTTAAATGCCACACTTAAAGGTAAAGACTCTCAGATAAAACAAATAAGTAAAAATCAATAATTCAAACATGGTGATTCTAAGAGACAGAAAGGCAAGACTCCGTATCATAGCATCCCTTCTGACACTGAAAACACAGGACACCAAATTAATGAATGTGTGAATCAATCATTTATATCCACTTAAGGAATACTATGTCTAATTATAGAAATCATATTCTCAGAACATTCAGGAATATTAAAAATTCTCATATCTTTTTAATTTTTAAAGCCAGTTATGAGACACAGAATTATACTGACTACATAGAAAATACCTTTGTTCTCAGTTGGGACATCTCAACTTCATCAGTTTGTGAGTCCTTCCTAGATTAATTTATACATTTAATTGATTCCAATAAAAATATCAGTGACATTTTTATGGAGCTTGACAAGTTGATACTAAAGTTACATATAAAAATACACACGTAAGAATAACCACATTGCTGGTGAGAACGTAAAATGGTACAGCCGCTCTGGAAATATTTGGTAGTTTCCTTTTGAAACTAAAAATGGACCTACCGCGTGACCCTGTGGTTGCACTCTTGGGCATATAACATGGAGAAAAGAAGGGACAGGCATGACAAAGTTGCATGGACCCCCACGCAGACTCGCACAGAGACACACATGTATAGCTGGTGACAACTGTCCACACTTTACAGATGCATGGATGTCAAGCTCCCGCCTGCGACCCTGCACTATGGGTTTGCAAGATGTCACCCGTCGGCCGGGTGCGGTGGCTCACGCCTGTAATCCCAGCACTTTGGGAGGCCGAGGTGGGCAGATCACCAGGTCAGGAGATCAAGACCATCCTGGCTAACACGGTGAAACCCCGTCTCTACTAAAAATACAAAAAAAATTAGCCGGGCATGGTGCGGGCGCCTGTAGTCCCAGCTACTCGGGAGGCTGAGGCAGGAGAATGGCGTGAACCCGGGAGGCGGAGCTTGCAAGGAGCCAAGATCATGACATTGCACTCCAGCCTGGGCGACAGAGCGAGACTCTGTCTCAAAAAAAAGTCACCCTTCATCGGAGGCTGTGAAGGAGGCATGAGACCTTCCTGTGTGTGTGCTTTGCAACTTGCTGAAAATCTGTAATTATTTCAAATAAAAATGTTTTGTGAGAAACACATTCACCCATCCAAACCCAAAGAATGGACTCAGAGACCCAAAGAACAACGGAAGGAAGACCTTTAATGGCGGTCTTGAAGATGGCGTGTCTGGTAGGCAGGCACACCTGCGGCAGCTACAGCAGGTAATTTATCTCCTAGCACGCAAGTCCCTCCTCCAGTTCCCCACTGATCAAGTACTGTGGGGTTACAATCTTCCCGGATGTCGCCTAAGTTCCATATCCCCTTACAGGGTCATACCCCGGTCCCCTTTCCTGCTTAAGTTTTGATTTCCCAATAATGAAACTTTATTCCGTTTTATGGGCTGTCCCCTCCTCTGCATCCTGTTTGCTTATCCTGACTTTTGCTGCACGTGAGCCATGCCGTTTGTCACATGTGCAGACTGGCTACCAGTATTTAGATCTACCATGCCTTGAAAATGGACCATGAAAATGTTTTCCCACATGTTTACAGTCATTTCTCACCCTGACCTAGTAGCAAGACTCTTAACAGATCAGAGGGGCAGCTCCCCTAATCAGGAGTTCCTTGTCGCATAAAAACTATGAAGAAAATTCACCAGTGCCAAGGAGAAGCAGTAAGTGACCGCACGTCTCCACTCAAGCCAGCTCTGGGAATCCAGGAGAGCAAGGAACAGAGGCTGAAGAGGGCGTGGGTGTGAAGCTTCGCAGAAGAGGTGTGAGGTGCTATGGGACCCATGGCCAAGGGACGTCTGCACACCGCCCACTGCGCCCTGACCCTGGGGTGCCGGCGCCCGGCATGACTGCCTGCCCTCTCCCCCGTGCCCTGGCCACAGCCAGCCCTCCCTCCCTCGTGATGCCCAGGCACAAACCAGGCAAACTTAAAAGTGTTGGGGGAGGGTATCGGTTCAGCAAATCATTAATGCCTGGTTTGTTTCTTTTTTTGTTTTTGGTTTTTTTGTTGTTGTTTTTTTGTTTTGAGATGGAGTCTTGCTCTATCGCCCAGGCTGGAGTGCAATGGTGCAATCTCGGCTCACTGCAACCTCCGCCTCCCAGGTTCAAGTGATTCTCCTGCCTCAGCTCCCAAGCAGCTGCGACTACAGGTGCGTGCCACCACACCCGGCTAATTTTTGTATTTTTACTGGAGACAAGGTTTCACCATATTGGCCAGGCTGGTCTCTAACTCCTGACCTCGTGACCCACCCTCCTCAGCCTCCCAAAGTGCTGGGATTACAGGCGTGAGCCATCGCGCCCGGCTGCCTGGTTTGTTTTATTCATGACTCATAAGGGTCCCTCAGGGGCCACCAGTTTCAGTTGAAGATGTCATTTTGCTTTGTTGAGTTTGGTTTTGTTTCCCACTGAGCCTAATGCACACAAATGGAGCCAGGCTAATGGAGAGGAAGGAGAGCTTTTTCCAAACCAATAGAGAAAGGCCCACAGGAAATGTTTAGCAGATGTGGCAAACCCAGACAGTTATGAAATCATTGTTCATTCATAACTTTACGTAAGTCTGAGCATGCAGACAGTTGCTTTGCTTTATTTTGGTTTTACTTTCTGTTTTCTTGCTTGAGAAGAACCCTAGAGCTTCAGGTAAACTCAACCCCCTCTTCGCAGAAATGTCACTCATGCTCATCACAGATGACGCAGATGCCGAGGAAGCCACAGAGAGCAATTGGGCACAGGCGGTAAGTACCAGATTGTCTTGGGGTACTTACCAAAGTCGTGTCCCCGAAAAAGACGACTCCAAGTCCTAAGCCCTGGAAACTGAATGTAGACTTATTTGGAAAAGGGGTCTTTGTGGCTGTAATTACAGTAAGATGAGTCGTACTCGACAAGGGTGGACCCTAAATCCAATGGCCAGTGTCCTTTGGACAAAGAATGGTCGCTGAAGATGGAGGTGGAGGCTGGAGTGACGTGGCCACTGCCCAGGAGCACCGGGGGCACGGGACGCTGGAACAGGCAGGAAGGCTCCTCCCTGAGAGACATCCAAGAGGGGATGATGGCCCTGCACACGCCTTAGTATTGGCTTCCCACCCCCAGAGCTGCAAGGGAATCAGTGCCTGCTGTTTTAAGTCAACTAGTCTGTGGCACTTGCTTGGGGCAGCTCCAAGGAACCCACGGCTGCGGGTTAAGGAATGTGCATGCTCAGAGCAGAGAGAGGGGCCAGGGCTAGGGGAGGCAGGGGTCCCTCCCCAAGATGCTTGGACTGAGTCTTGCCTGTGCCTCTGGAAATATTTTCCATTTAAAGGGAAATATTTTCTACTGACCAGGTTCAAAACTGGCCTGCGGGAGCATGGGAGTCTTTTCCTGCATGGGGCCTGCAGAAGGAAATGCAGCCCGCAGCTCAGCACGGCCTCCAGACGGCCCTAGTCTCTGCGTTTCCTCAGAAACTCCTTGCGGGAAGAACACACATGTTCCAGGCCAGATGCTCTTCCCCACGTCTATGGACAGAGCACTGATCCCAGTGAGGAACGTCCACACACCACACAGCAAAACCCTTCTCACCGTGAGAAATTGACAGTTGCCTGAGAAAGACACTGTCGTGTAGGAAACAAAGCCTTCATCTCAGATTTTAGAGAAATCCCCGCAAAGAAATGACAAAAGCAGAGTGGCTTCAGCGTTCTCCGTAGACACAGATGTTCACCTCCACTGTGGGCATCTTCAGGCAGGAGCTTTGCCTCACCCCTTCTCTCGTGTGCCTTCCAGGACTCAGCCCCCTCGTGCCTCCCGGAATGCAGGGGTGCCATTGGAAAGATGGAAAGTCTAAGGAGGGTACAAGTCACAGCTGCTCTGGTCCTCAGAGCTTCCCTGCACTGGGCGTGTTGAATGCACACTCTCTACCCCATAACATACCATCAGATGCGGGAATATGAATGAGATCATCCCAGACTCCATGGGGATCACAGAGCTTGGGAAAGGAATGTCAACACTGGAAGGCAGGTCTGAGTCCAAGTCTGTGTCCTCAGCCTAAAATCTTCAGATTTAGTAAATAAAAACATGGGTTGCCTGGTTAAATTTTTACATAAGCAAAGAATAGTTTTTAGCATAAAATGCTGCATGCAATATTCAGTGTCCTGTATTTCGTCTGGCAGCCTCACCTCTCCGGCACAGCTATGGGAAGATGCTTTTGTCCGCCCAGCCAGGGCCAGGATGACACCAGGGACGCTCAAACGTCTACAGCCAATTTGGTGACCCCCTTTAATTTTTGGAAATGCCACTGCTGGCCCCTCACAGTGGAAATTCTTCATGTGCAACCAGCTCATAAATATAGTGTGTTGGAGGCACCTGGATGGTTAGGACTCAGGACAATATTCTCCCCAAATATTTTCTCAACATCCATCTTCCTGGTGGCAATTAGTGTCTGAGATTCTCTTTAACTTTTCCTTGCCGGGGTGACTGCAGTCAGCCGTCAAGGCAAGAAAAGGGAAGTCTGAAAAAGTGTAAAACTGATCATCAAAACACAAAACTTTACGTGTTTTTCTCTGAAAGCGCATGAAACTGGCTGCTTAGCTTCCAAATGGAAACCCCACACTGCATGTTCTCCGAGGCTTTTCTGCTTTCTTTTGACATTTTGACACTGAGCTCTGAAATAATAGTGTTAACTGTTGATCTTTTTTTCCTTTGGAAATTGGCTTTTGACACTAGACAGCTGGAAAATCTGAAAGGTTAGCGCACATCTGGTGCGTCTACCTCAATATAAATGCCAATGTTCCATCAAAGCTTTTCACAGATCAATGAAATAATGATCACAGGTGCCAAGACACAGGGATTCACTAAGATGGACAGCCACACAGAATTATGACAAGGTTGGTGGTTGTTTTTGTTTTGCTTTTCGTGTTTTGTCTCTATTATTCATGGAGATTTGTCCCTAGAAACACCAGAGAGAGCCTACAGTGCCAACAGCACAGCTCTCTGGCAGGGCCCCAAGAGCCGCGGGAGGGCAGGGCAGGTTCCTGGCATGCCTGAGATGACTTAGCACACTGTGAACCAGGGCTTGTGAACAGGGAAGTGTTACTCAAGATTGAGCTTGACTTTACAAAAGCAAGCTTGTTCCCCTGGAAGGCTTTCCAATTTTGATAAACTGTACTGTGCATTCATGCCTGTTCATTTGAGTGACTGCAGATCTTAAAAGAATCGTTTTCGGAAGACAAAAATGCATGTAAAATAAGGCTGGGCGATGTGAGAGGTGACACTGTAACATTGGGAGCTGGTCCTGCTCTGGCAACAGGCAATAGCTTCCTCAGTCTCCTGCAGAGCCAAGCAAGGAATGGTTTTGCTGGGGAGTTCTGCAAAATTTAATGAGAGAGGCAGGTGTGAGGCCACGTCACAGCAAGGGAACCTGCAGTTCACTTCAAATTTGGGGAAGAGTTTTGAAGCCTTGACAACAAACCACCTCTTTTTCAACATCCTTCTTCCTCTTCCTCTCTTCAGCAGCAAAGCTTCTTATTCCTACAATACAGGGTAGAGAGAGACAACTGTTTGAACTTTCAAATTGTACACTGGAAGACGAGCACCATGTTTGCAATTGATTCTGCCTCCTTCCAGCTTAGAGCCTTCAGTAGCAGACACGAGCAATTTCCTACCCTGCTGAGCTCCATGGGCTCCCAATGGATCCTTCAAAGCTGAGCTCCTGGTAACCTCACAGAGAATCGCTGTGTGGGAAACCAGAGCAGGAGGCTGGAGGCAGGTAAGAGCCGGGCCATCCACATGGTAACATGGAAACTGGGTTGTTTTTCCAGGGCTTGGACCAGGCTTGGGCGTGTGGCTGCTGCACGTGAGAAATGTCCCTTCTCCCACACACGCCAGTAGCCACACCACTCTCTGAATAGGAACACCTGCTCTATGTACCCAGCCCAATGTATTACAATATTTATTAGGCCCTCATGCTGTGGCTAGGTAAAGTGAAGTGACATACATTTTATGAAATTTGTGTCCCCATGTCTGTACCTTCATTCTGACGTCACTGCTCTTGCCAAGAACAGATCAAAACCGTTGCATGTTTGGGTTTGTTACTCCCTTGTTCTTCCCACTGTGCTGGCAAGAGGGCGCGGGCGATAAATGAGGTCAGGAACACCTGCTCCATTGCAACTGCTTCTGGACAGACCAGACCTCAGGCCACATGCTCACCAGTGCTGGGGTTGAGCCCTATTCTGTGACCCCACCACAATGAATATTGAGGCAGAAATCGTGAATATGACAAGGTCCTGCCCTCATACTCCTTAAGAAAAAGGAAAATATTTTAAATGAAATCATCTTCATTGTTACATTTACAAATGAGGGATAAAAACCAAACACATAGAAAAGTATTTTAAAAATTCCTGTGTACCCCCAGCGACATGTACTGTGACACCGTGAGCATTTTGGCGTCTATCCATCCAGATACGTTCCTACCTGCATGCAATGGCAGGAAAGATCCAGATACAGATTTCCATGCCCAAACACCCTACACCCAGTTGATGTCCCAGACCTGCTATCCCATAACCGACTCTTCCCTTAACAGCATACCTTACATGTCCTCTTAGTCAACGGACACACATCAGCTTCGTCTTCAGTGTCTGTCCAGTATTCGTGCCATGCCACTCCATAATTTCTTCACAAAAATCTCCCATTTCAGGCAATTTATGTTTATTGTTAAGCCAGTCACATTTAGCAGTGTGGGGTCGTGTACCAACTTTAGTGACACCAATGTTAATCAGTTCTGATAACCACTACATTGGACAAGCCAGGATTTTTTTTTTTAATTCCTACTTGTTTCAAACAACAGTACGTGTTTACAAGAAGGCTTTTGTAATTCTATATTTGCAAAAAGTGTGTATGTGTCTGGTTCTTTTCTGCGGATACATTTCTGGAAGTGCAATCTCTGGGTTGGCATTTTGTACACTTTAAACCTTTCTCGTATGTGCCCCCAAATCGTCCTCCAGAAAGTTGGCACTGGAGCACACCACCCACAGCGGGGTATGAGGCCTGAGACGAAAGTGAATCCTGTGTCTTCTTCAGAGACACAGAAGCTGCTGATTTCTTCCTGTTCTGGAGACTGACACTTAAATGTGTCTCAGAAGTGGTTTGGGGCAAAGTAGGGGCAAAAATTTTCATGTGGAGGCAACAAATTTAAATAACCAAACACAATGAACCAAAATTATCGATTCTCTGAGTCATTTTATAACTGAATAGTCAATTCTCTGAGTCGTTTTATAACACCTGGGACAGCGTCGTGGAGACTGAACACGTGAGTTCTCTGAGTTGCTTTATACCACCTGGGAGAGTGTGGTGGAGATTGAACACATCAATTCTCTGAGTCGTTTTATAATGCCTGAAAGAGCATCATCGAGACTGAACACGCGGTGAATTGCAGCCACTACTCAACATCATGCTTTTCACGTCTAGTCTGGATGGAACATTCTAGAAGGGCTCTAGGAGACACGTGGATCCTGGAGTAAGTTGGGTAAAGAAACATGTTAAAGGAAGGTAGCTCTTATTTTACCAGAGCCTGTCCTTTGGTTTTTGTTAAATCCAGAGTATCTTAAAATTTAAGAATTACATTTTCAGGTAGAAGCTTCAATACTGTTTATTTGAATAAAATATAAATAATTTATATTAACAAGGCTGCTTAAAGTTTATTGAATTCTCAATTTTTTATGACCTTATCATCTCCTTATGAAATAACTGTTACTGAACAAGAATTAAGTCTTATTGTTAGTGATCAAGTTTCCCCCCAATCCCCTCTTGCAAATAGAGCTTTATACCTTAATGCATTGACCATGGTCAGGCTTTGAGGATCAAGGGCCATATTTCCTAGCCCTAATAGTTCCACTTATTACTTTCACAAATAATAGACAGTTATTCTTGTTTTCCTTCTAGAAACATTGAATTTTTTTCCTCTGCTTTGCATCATTTGAGATAGGTCCTTAAGAAGCAGCTAAGACCTGGAACTCTAGCACGGTGGAAAGCTGAGGCAGGAGGATATCTTGAGTTCAGGAATTTGAGACCAGCCTGGGCAACACAGTGAGACCCCATCTCTGCAAAAAAAACAAAAAATTAGCCAGGCGTGGTGGCATGCACCTGTAGTCCCAGCTACTCAGGAGGCTGGCTGGAAGGATCACATGAGGCTGGGAGATTGAGGCTGCAGTGAGCTGCAATCACACCACTGTACTCCAGCCCTCCAGCCTGGGTGACAGAGCAGGATCCTGTTAAAAAAAAAAAAAAAAAGGAAAAGAAAAGAAAAGAAACAGCCCCCGAAAGTTGTTGATTGCTTTTTATTTTATAGTAGCAACTCCAATTTTATTTTCCTCTGGCAGTAAAGTATTATTAAAAGTTGTTCGATTTGATTTTTTGCACATCTAAATGTTTCTACAAATGGTCATTTAAGATCTCTGTTTAGTGTACTGTCTTCCAAAAAATTTCAAACTGAAAAACTAAAACAGGCTACTCAGAAAGCTGTATGTGTTTTCACGTATTTCTTTTTTACAATAGGACCATAGCTTCAGAGTTGAAGAGGTAATGCATATTTTTTGTTAATCTATTCATTGGCCTCAAGAACCGAAGCTTAGAAATATTTGTAAGTATGGTGTCACTCCAATGCTTCCACGAAGAGCTAGGATCTTGAACTGTGAAGAGGAGAAACAATGTAGCCAGCAGAGAACCAGTGCATGTGTCTCTATGTGTTTTCACACCAGACGGAGGGTTGGGAGACCCCACAACAGAAGTGCAGATTAACCACACTGATTTGTTTTGCTCTCATGGAGAGTCATAGAAAACACATTGTTGATTAATGTTATGATGCGTTTAAGAGAGGAAACTTTACACCCGGGAGATGCGAGTAGCTTTCTTAAGAAGTAATTAACAACTTCATGGAGCTCCTACTGCACCCATCATAAGCTTATCTGTTTGTTTTAGTAACTCTGTTTTTCACTCATGTTTCTAACTTTTGAAGAACTCCCTCTTCTCTGAGTCTCCTGTGAGTCGCCTTTTTCTCTAAGTCAGAAAATGACGTAGTGTGTTCCTCTGAATAACATTGCTACCTTCTATCACTGGAGCTCTCAATCTCTTGGTTGTGGACAGCTGAGCCCCTTGGCAGCAATTGTTTTAACGTCATGAAATGAAGTAATGCAGAAAACTGATAATAAGTGAATATCTCTCTGCTTCTGCATTCAAATGGGTACTCAGCACCGGAACACATATGCACCATCATCCACATCCTCCACCCCCGAAAATGGCAAAGTGAGTGAACCTGCGGACCGGGAGAGCGTCACAGCCGCCTTCCCACTACTCTTAGGTATTTCATGTATTTGAAGGCCTGAACTGTCTTTCCAAACCCTAGTTGGAAATGAGGAGAAATGTTTGCAAGTTATTGAAGGGATAAAGAATGAGAAAGGTGGGTGGGAGGAGAAGAAAGAAGAAAAAAGAAGGAAGAGGAGGAGGAAGAGAAGCAGGAGGATAGGGTGGATGGGGGAGGAGAGGGTGGAGGGGGGAGGAGAGGGTGGAGGGGGGAGGAGAGGGTGGAGGGGGGAGGAAGGGGGAGGAGGAGGGAGGGAGAGAGAGATAGAGAGAGGGCTTGGGCAGCGGAAGAGAGGAGAGTGGGAGGAAGGACACAAAACAGAATGTTTTAATGAAATAGCAACAAATTTTACACAGACCACTTGCATAGGAAATATTTCTTTTCTTCCAAAAATTACCCGATGGAACCCTAATTTCCTAATTCTTCAACAGCTAAAAGCAACCTTGAGTGTACACATAAGGGCTCCTTATTAAACTGCGAGTATTGCGGGGAAAGAACAGCAACGCATTTCTAAACCGGCAGAGGGTTTTGAGCGACAGTCTCCGTCGTAACATTTCCTGACTTTTGGAGGAGGAAATGTGCCTGTCAACGGGATGAAATCCGTGTTCTCCCCAGCAGGGTCTCCGGGCAGCCCGCAGCCTCCCCTACAAGACGCTGATTTTTCAAGTGTTAGGGAAATTGATATCAGTTGGTTTTATGTTCAGTGTTAATCCTGCCTCTTTCAGGGATTATCTGTAATCCTATTAATTTCATACAGCAATCCTTTTGGGAGGAAGTGGAACTAGACTGAAAAGTTTAGCTTGATAATATTTTCAACCTTGTCGCTGATCTCAGGCAGCGATTAAAACCAGCCTCTACCAGGCAGGGATTCGAGCTTCTCCTGGCGTTCCACGCATCATCAGATTCTTGGTTCAGGTCCCGTTGCAGTCAAGCAGGGGCAAATAAATGTCAGGAAATTAAGAATTAAGGCAACCTGCATGTCGATGCGAGCCAGGTGGGAACCCATCTTTAATTATGGTTTACATGAATTAGACCTAAAGAGACCAAGTCACTGTGATATTTACGCCCTCCCAAGAGACTCCATGCAAATGAAGACGAGGGGAAGGAGGAGAGGAAAGCGGTCCGTGGACGCAGGATCTTTGGGTGTGGGGCAGAGCACGGCCCCGGGCCCCTGGTGTGGGGGTCCTGAGTGCAGGTCCCGTTGCACCATCGCGCAGCGGGGCCCCTGAGTGGGCTCCTGACCCCTTGTGGTATCCGCATCCTTAGGAGAATGTCCCCCAGCTTCACCTTCCAGCCCGGCCGGGGGCCCCAGCTCTGCCCAGGCCTCTCCCCGGGGCCCTCTGGCCTCTCCACTGGTCTCCAGAACTGCCTTCCGGGCCTTGACCACGCCCTGACCCCAAACACACATTGGGTTTCTCCAGGTCCGTCAGCCTCGGGTGGGAGCCACCTCCAGTCCGCTCCAGTCCCCCAGCATGGAGGAACCCTGGTCCCGACCGGCGAACTCATAGCGGGGCCCCAAGGCCCTGGGTGCTGTGCGGTCAGTCCCGCCCACGCCAGAGTTCCTGCCCTCGCCCTGCCGTGTGCTTCCCAACCAAAATTCCCCCAAATCCGTGACCCATAGACGTGGCCTTTGCAGCCGTTTCCTCCCAGACCCCTTGGGATGTTATTTCCAAAGCAAGCACTGTGGAAGGAGCTCGATGGGGCCTCCCCAGGTCCCGCCAGGCTGCTCCATCTGCACGCACCGAGCGTAACTCGCGCGTCCTGAGCCCGAACCCCATTGAGCACAGGCCCAGGTGCTCCGGGATGACCGGCCCACGGAGGACGAGGGCCTCAAAGACGGTGTTCTCACTGGACAGGGGTCCTGAGAGGGCCACACATGCTGCACACACGTACACACTACACACATACACACTGTACACAACTGCACACATGCACACACACTGTACACACACACTACACACACGGCACCAGCTGCACACATGTACATACTACACACACTGCACACACGCACACACACTGTACACACATGCACACAAACACACACCATACACACACGGCATACACACGCAAACACACACAGCACACATGCAGACACACTATACACACACCACACAGATACACAGCACATGCTGCACACATGTACACACTACACGCTGTACATACACTGCATACAGACACAGACATACACTGTACACACTGCACACACACAGACACACACCATAACATGCTGGCTGCTATACACACTACAAACAAACACACTCACACTATGCACCCACACATGCGCGTGTTATGCAGGTGGAGTGGCCTGGGCCAGGCCTTACAGGCTCCGTGGGACCTCTTTCAACAGTGCTTGCATCGGAAATAACATGTTACACCATACACAGACACACTCGCACACACTACACACTCACTGTAACCCTCACACACTCCCAAACAGTACACATGGAGACACACTCACAGATACCACACACATTGTATGCATTCACACACTGTACAGAGACACATACCGTACACACACACCCCTCACACCTACACCTGCACACCATACAAACACACACATAGTATACACAGTCACACACACACACTATACACAGACATACCAGACACACTCACACTATACACATGCACACACAGCACACACTACTTGCACAAATATACACACAGATACACACACTATACATAGACACACAAGATAAACATACACACCTCACATACTATACACATGCACACATGCACACACACCATACACAGACATACTCACACTACACATACTCAGTATACACCCTCACACACATAGACGGCATACATGGACACACACACTGCACATGCTACACACAGACACACACACTACACATACAGAGGCACACACACTACACATGCTATACACAGTCACACACTCATACACAGTATGCACACCATACAGAGACACACTATACACACACAAAGACACACACACCCACAACACACACTCACACACCTCACATCTATAGACATGTGCACACACATACACTCACAAATACTATACACAAACACACACTACACTTACACATACTACACACACACTATATACACTCACACACTATACAGAGACACACACTACACACACTGTACATACACAGATACACATATATACACATTATATACACACTGTTTTGAACACACAGAGACACACACACTAAACACACAGAAAGACATAGACACATGTACATATATGAACAGAGACACACAAAGACACACTCACACACTATACAAACACAGAAACACAGGGACTCCCATTCACACACCGTGCATGCTACATACACACCCATACACACAGACATAGACGCACACGCTATCACACTATCCACAGAGACACACTACACACACACAGACACATGCACCACACACATTAACATTCTACACACACCCCACAAACACACACGCAGACACACATGCCACAAAGTCCCCTGCACAGCAGGCCCTCAGCACACAAAGGTCTTGTTCCCCTCGCACTCATGGAGACCTGCAAGCGAGCGGGCTGTGCTAGTTCTGAGAGGCAGCAGACAGTCTGTGACCGGGTTTTCACTGGTCTGCAGCAAAATAAGAAACATAAGAACAAAAATCTTTAAATGTTGGGTCTTTCTTCAAAAGATGGTGATAATAGATCACATTCTGTGTTTTGAGTGTGTATCAACTGTTTCCAATTAAACAGATTTTAAAAGTTGATGAATTTATATCAATCTTTTAATTTTACTTCTTCATGAAATTCCAACAACTGAGGAATACGGATGAGGACTCCTAAATTCTCTGTTCTTCAATAATATTTTATCTCCTCAGGCTCCTTTGGAAGCTGTTTTTACTATTTCAGGAAACTTAAATTACACCAGAAACTTTGCAGTTCACTTAATTTAAAACAAGAAAGACTGTACTTGTTTACATTACCAGTACTTCTCTCTCACCAGAATATGAAAACTTTGAAAATACCCTTTGAAATTACATGAATATTTATGGAGATATGTTCTTAAAACTCCACTTGCAAATGAAGATACAGAATGAGTCACCAATCAATAAACAATATTTATTGACTACTATTAGTCCTATACTCTGTATTAAATAATAACATGAAAGAAAAGATTGGAGAAGAATAGATAGAAATGGAATATTGTTTGATGTGTCTTGATATCATGTGAACTTAATTCTTTACAGAACTTCTCATATGATTACAATTCTAGTAATATTTTTTAAATATCTATCTGCTGGGAACTATTTAAATATATATTGTTTCTAATGTTCTCAGGGATTGAGTAGAAAAACAAATAAACATGTGGCTGTCACCAACAAGTGCATATTTCAAGAAACAATCAGATCACTGTTCAAATTCCCTGAGAACTGAAGTCAGCTCTACAGAACTAACCAGGCTCTTACCCTCCCATGTGTCACAATTAGCCCCAGGAGCTAGTCTGCTAGGAAACCCATAAGTCATTTCTGGACCCTCGGAGTTGCTGGTCTGTCTCCACCATCTACCTTGCAAAAAGAATTATTTACTGGATGTAAATAGTGCCTAAAGGTGTCATTTGACTACTGCACTGTCAAGCTGAATTATTCATTTCTATTTGTGAGAAACACCAAAAATATAGTGAACAGATGTTGTTTGCAGGGGACAAAAGAAAGCGGGAAAATATAGGAGGAAAGGTAAGCTACTTAACATACTGACAAAGCTGTTATATTTTCTCCTTCTTTTCCATTTGTGAGGAATAAAGCTCCTTTGACTAATCAAAAATTATGGAGCATTATCACACATGCAGATGGATGGCAGTTTCTCTAAGTAATATAATATCATAGATGTAAATGTGTGGCAATGTAGACATAAAGCTATATTTGCTCAGAGCTGTAATACCAGTGGTGTAAACTACTGACTGTAACCTCAACCTCTGGGATTCACGAGTGTAAGCATGTAGCGAACGCAACAGAGGCAACATTTTCATTGAGATGTAGTTTAGAAAGTGGCAGATACTAGCGTTTCATTGGTAAAACTCCCACTGGTAGCAGATATAACATTAGTACGGAGCTAGCCTCAATAGACCACAAGCATCTAAATTAAATTCTGTTGGGTACTGAGACTTTCAGAAAAGTCTAGTTGCCTATAGGCTGCCGAACTCTACAGTTCAGAGCTGCAACTAGTGAATGTCAGATGGCAGGTGATACTGCCCGGTAGGAAGTAAAGTTAGTGCATATGGTCACATCAATTGATGCAGAAAAAACGTACAGCGAATGTCAATGCACATTCAAGATAAAAACTCTTAGAAAACTAGGAATAGAGGGAGCTCCTCTAACTTAATAGAAAATATCTACCCAAATCTCCTACAGTTGACATGACTCCTAATGGTGAGGACTGGATGCTTTCTTCTAAGGCTGAGAACAAATCAAGCATGTCCCCCAGCACTCCCATTCAGGATCGTAGTAGAAGGCCTAACTAGTGCAAAAAAAGACAAGAAAAAAAATAAAAGGCATAGATTTGAAATGAAAAATCAAACTCTCTTTATTCACAGATGGCATTGGTGTTTATGTATTAATAGATAATCCCAAATAATTAAAAAATAATAAGCAATAATAGTGCAGTCACAAAATGCAAGGTTAAAATACAAAAGTTCATTTTCTCATATATATCAGCAAAAGACAATTGGGAATTGAAACTATAAAAACAATACCATTCATAATAGCACAAAAAATAACATACAAAATATATGCAGCATCTGTGTTTTAGGAAAACACAATAATGAAAGAAATAAAATATTTAAATAAGTATAGAGACATTCTCTGTCCTTGCATTGGAAAACTCAATATTGTCAAGGTGTGAATTCTCAAGTTGATCTATGGATCTAACACAATCCCAATCAGAATCTCGGAAAGCTATTTTGCCAATATTAGCAACTGATAGCTGAAGTTTAAATGGAAAGGCAAAAGACCAAGGCTAGACTACAGAATATTAAAGATGAAAGAGTTGGATGACTCTCACTACCTTACTCTAAAGCTACAGAAATCAAGCCAGTGAGGTATTGGCCACAGAAAAGACATAGATCCATGGAACAAAACAGACACAGCAGAAGGAAGCATACACAAAGACAGTCAACTGACTTTTGACAAAGGCACAAAGGCAATTCCATTTTGGACATCCATATGCAAAAAAAAGGAAATGAACCTAGACCCAGAACTTCCACCTTACATTAAAATTAACTCAAAATGAGGCCAGGCCTGGTGGCTCATGCCTGTAATCCCAGCACTTTGGGAGACCAAGACAAGTGGATCACTTGAGGTCAGGAGTTTGAGACGAGCCTGAACAACATGGTGAAACCCCATCTCTACTAAAAATACAAAATTAGCTGGGCATGGTGGCACATGCCTGTAATCCCAGCTACTCAGGAGGCTGAGGCAGGAGAATTGCTTGAACCCAGGAGGCAGAGGTTGCAGTGAGTCAGATCGTGCCATTGCACTCCAGCCTGGCCAACAAGAGCGAAACTCCATCTCAATAAATAAATTAATTAATTTAATTTAATTAACTCAAAACGTAAAATGAACAATTATAAAACTTCTGGAAGAAAACATAGCAAAAGTGTACACGACCTTAGGGTTGGTGATGAGTTTTCAGGAAGGTACACTATCCATGAAAAAAAATTGTTAAACTACACTTTATTAACATTTAAAATTTCTACTATATGAAAGAGATTACTATGCAGATATATTGTTAAGAGAAAAAAACAACAAAAACAAGAAGAAAATATTTGCAAAACACCTATGTGGTAGAGGACTTGTATCCAAAATATGCAAACAACTCATAAAACTAAACACTTTTAAAAAATCTAATTTAAAAACCAACAAAAGATCCAGCCAGATACTTCACCAAAGAAAATACACAGAAAGCAAGTAGATATGAAAAGATGCTCAACATCATTTTCCATTTGTGGGAATTAAAACAAGAGACATTACTACATGCCTATTAAAATGTCTAAAACTGAAAAAATTGACAAGAATATGGAACGCTGGTGACCCACATGGGTGGGAAAGCAAGATGGCACGGCCACTTTGGAGGACAGCTTGGCGATTTCTTACAAAGCCAAACACAGTCTTAGCCTGTGATCCAGCAACTGCACTCCTTGGCATTCAGTCACCTGATTTGAAAACCTATGTGTACACAAAGCCTGCAGAAGGATGTTTGGAGCTGCTGTTAAAATAATTGTCAGGAATGGAAAACAACCAAACTGTCCTTCCCCACGTGAAGGGACAGACAAACCATGGCGTATCTGTACAATGGAATATTATTCAGTCATAAATGCTCTGTAATTAGTTAGCAATGATAGTTGCACATGTACTAAAAACTACTGAATTGTACTTTAAATTGAACACTTTTACAGTAGGTTTTTTACATCTCCTTTTTTTAAAAAAATAGAATGTGATATTAAGCCACCAAAGACATAGATGAATCTTAAATGCATATTGCTAAGTGAAACAAGCCAGTGTGAACAGCCAACACACAATATGATTCCATTTGTGTGGCATTCTGGAAAAGAGAAAATGATAGAGACAGTGAACAAACCAGTGGTTGTAGGGGGAGAGGGCTCGGTGAAGCACAGCTGATATTTCAGGGTGATGAAACTATTCAGTACACTTCTATAATGGTGAATACATGATATGTTGTGTTTGTCAAAACCCATTAAACTTTATAGCACAAAGAATAAACCCAAGTGTATGCAAAGTTTTTAAAAAATCATTTGGAAGCCAGACATAGAAAAATAAATATCTCATGTTCTCGCCCATATGGGGGAGCTAGAAACGTGGATCTCATGGACATAGAGAGTAGAATGATGGTGCAGGGGCTGAGAAGTGGAGAAGAGAGATAGAGAATGGTTAGTTAATGGAAACATACACTTAGGTAAAAATAATAAGTTTCAGTATTCAATAGTACAGTAGAGAAATTACAGTTAACAATAATTTATTGTATATTTCAAAATAACTAGAAAAGAAAAACTGTAATTTTCCCAACACAAACGAAAGATAAACAAGGTGATGAATATCCCAATTGCCATGATTTAAACAGTACACATTGTACACAAGGATAAAAACATCAGCCGTATGCCAAAATATGCAAAATCTGCACAACTACAACACATCAGTGAAAATCTGCATAACTACAACACATCAGTGAAAATATTTTAAACATCATTTGGGAGGTGGGGAGATTCCAGCATGGAATGCAGCCTGTGACAAAAGAATTGTGATTGTATCCCAGGGTGTGAAGCAGCCTCCCTGCAGGGGCGAGTGGGTGCAGCATGCTGAATAAGTGACTTTGGAAACAGGTGGGATCCATGAGGCACAAAGACCGGGCCTAAGAACTGTTCTCTGGCTGATAATGTTGTTTCCAGGGGAGGTGTGGACTAAGAACTCTGAAACCACGCTACACACGCAGAGGAACCAAGCAGCTAAGTGCATGGACAGTGATGGTGGGTGTTAGCATCTTCCAGACAGAGTGGGAGGTTATAGAGAATTGGGGAGAAAGGGCTGGAATGAGCCATGCAGAGCTGAATGAAAGCCAGTGGCATCACTACAATCATGGGGCGTAACACGCACACACACAGATGTGCTGCCACATACCTGTGCACGCGCCTGGAGGCAACCACCCAGCAGGAACATCGCACCCCACCCCTGTGCCTCGGGGTTCCATGGGCTACATTTATCAGGCTGAGGAATGCCTCCTGCTGTTTGATGAAAGACTTTATCAGGAGTGGATTTGGGATTTGTCAAGTGAGACTGAAGCAAGAGCCATCTTAGAAGCCTAACAGATGGCCCCTGAGTAAGAAGGGCATTCTTGGGCTTTTCGCGACGGGCATGTTTCCAGCCCTTGTGACACGGGGTGCTGCTCCCACTCATCCTTTTGGGGGGCTCCTCCTCTGGCCCCGGGCATGGTCCCTGCAGGACCGACCTGCTGAACTGCACTCGACTTAACTCAAGATCTGCAGGTCTCTGGCGAATTGTCTCTGAAGATCTCTTCTCTCCAGCTCTCTGCCCTGGGGACTCTAACTCTCTTGTCTAACTGGATGCCCAGCTCTGATTCCCCCATTCAGGGGGACCACCAGGCTCTCCCTGGGTCCCGCACTGTGTCGTGCCTGGGAGACTCTCCCAGTGATGTTAGGAGAGTCTGGATGCTGTTTAATCCCCAGCATGCCTCTCCCGCCTCCTGTCTTTAATGGATTGCTCTTTTGTTGCCTGAGGTCCGATGTCTGGAGTGCCACTTTTTCATGCATTTCATCTATTTTTTTAGTTGTTTCAAACAGAAGGGTACCTAAGGTTCCTATGACTCTATCTTGACCAAAAGCAGAAAAGTCTGTTCAAGGTATTTATTTTTCAGGTAAGAAAGACTTGTTGATATTTAAATGCTGGTGGGGGAAAAAAACCACAGAGAGGAAAAAGTAAAGACAAAGCAGGCAAGAGGCGGAGAAGGCTCACGATGGCTTTAAGAACCTGCTGAACTCGGCGGCTGTGACTTTAGCATCAGTCTCCATTTACCTGATGTTCTTGGAAGCTCTCGGCAGCCCAGGCTGATCTGGGATTGGGTCTTATCAGGAGTTGCCTCCATTTGCAAGAACGTGGTGAAATTGACAGAAGACACAGTTACGTCATGGTTTGGGGGGAACTGCTAGCAACGAGCCATCAATATTTAAGGAGAAAGTAACAGAATCCAGGGAATGGGAGCCCCAGGAAAACTGAACAAGTTTGGGGAGAGACCTTATAGTAATGCTTGCTCTCGTTGAAGGAAGCCGTGCTTTTCCCCGATCTGTTCACTGTGCTGTGTGCCTTCCAGGCATTCGCAGTCCCTGGGACCCTGTCCGTGTCCATCTCTAGACTCCGCCTGCAGCTGGGTTTCCTCGTGCCTTCTCAGCTTCCACACATGGAGTCCATGATTCTGACTTCCACACAGGATTCAGCTGAAATCCCGCCTGTTCTTAGACTGTGTTCTCTGTGGGCCCTTTGCTCACTGATCTCGTCCACGTCACACTCTCGTGATTCTGCACTTAATATCCATCTGCCTTGTGTGGAATGCTTCTCTTCTTGGAGGACAGGAAGCGCGTCTCAGCAGTTTTTGATCTGTAGCAACTGGAATAGTGAATTCAATCAGTATTTTTTTGAAGGGTGGATTTTAATTAGCCGGGCATGGTGGCACAAGCCTGTAGTCCCAGCTACATGGGAGGTGGAGGCTGCAGTGAGCTATGATGGCGCCACTGCACTCCAGCCTGGGTGACAAAGTAAGACCCTATCGCCGAGGAAAAAAAGAGTAGATTTAGGTGTATTATTGTATACTACCAGACACTGTCAAGGTTTCACACTTTATTGTGTGGTTCAGTAAGCAACACCATAGAATTTCTCTAATAGGCAACCATTTGACTTTCTAAGTCAAATTTGGTAATAAAAAGAAAAAAACCATTAGAAGCACGTTCCCTGAAAGGTAAGTTGTGCTGTTCTCGGAGACGTGGACCTAGGCATTCCTAGGATGAGTTCTCACACCTGGGACAGGAGTGCTCTGCCCCGGTGCCACCTAGTTCCTGCCTTGGTCAAGACAAAGGGGCCCTCCTCTCCTGGTCTCATAGGGTGACCATATAATTGATCGCCTCAGCCATGATGTTGTTGAGAGTGAAAGGGGCTCTATTCATAATTTCGGTAGAACAGCTGGCAGGAAGCAGGATTGATCTGTGCATTCAGGGTATGGAGTACCAGGCTTACAGGGTCTGGGCTGCAACCCCGTCTTAGGAGGGCAGACAGCGAGCCAGGCTGTGGAACAGATGTCAGAAGGGGATGATGGCCCCAGCATGCCATGGTATCAACTACCCCCAGAGCTGAACGGGGCTCTCAGCTGTGGTCACCAGGAACTTCAGTCCCCTCTGCTATTTGTGGACCCCAAGCCCACATCTTTCCTTTCCTAAATAACAGCAGCCTTTATCTAGTGTGCAGAAAGGAAAACATCTTCTTACACTGGGGCCGCGGCCGTTGGACCAAAGTGCCAGGCTCTCCAGCCTTTACTTTCCAGTCCCATGGCGAGGGGTCCATGTTCTCCTCTCTGGGCAGAGAGGGAGTCAGCATTCAAGGAGGGAGAATCATCCTGAGGACAGAGTTTAAAAAGTCGTAAAGCCTTCAGTGTCATAATTCAGAATGTTACTTTGCCACATATCCAAAAACGTTCACTTACATTATTAGATAATGACAAGGAGCATCACATAGCCAGATAGTCCTGTTTAGGACTGGACACACAGGATCCTAAGGATGAGAATAGACGCGTGACGAACAGGACACACAACCCAGGAGCCAAGGAGAACTGCCCGGCTTGGGGATAATTCCTATGTAAATGGTAACATACAAGTTTTCTCCACACTGGGGTCCTCGGCGTCATTTTAATATCTGAGTAAACCTGGATTGTGCCCCATAGGATTTAGCCCAAGATCTGCAGGTGGCACGTCCACTTCCCGGTCAGCTCAGCCCATACACGTGGAAACCACACTTTACGCTCCATGACCCCTGCCCTCCCCACCCTACATCTCCAGTCTTCCCCTATCTATCTGCAGGCGCTGCTGCCCCCGGCCCAGGCCCTTGCCTCCCTCTGAGTGAGCTGGCGTGGCCTTCCAATGAATCTCCTGGCTTCTGCACTGGCTTTCTTCAACCCCATTGCCCAAGAGATTCCAGAGTAATGTTTACTTAAATGCAAATCCAGACTCATCACTCCTCAGCTTTAGACCTTTGAGGGTCCCCTGTGGCTCTTTGAACCCCTCCTGTAGCTGCTTCGTCTTCCAGATCCCAGGTCCAGCCCCCCGTGGCCGCCCTCCCTCCTCCCCAAGTGCAGCTTTGCCAGCCTGCGCCTTCCCTCATCCACTTTCTGGACAATGCTCGCCCACGGTAGGGTGTCCTGTTATCCCCTCCGACCGAGATCTGATGTTCACAGCTCTTAGCACAACCTGTGATTGTTTCACACGTGAGCTGTTTCCTATCCGCCCCCTCGGCCAACAGAAAACCGTGTGACAGCAAGGATGGCACTGCCGTGGCCCACGTGGGTTCCATGTCCTTCATGGTGCCTGGAGTTTGTATGCTGAGATCACTGTAGACACGCATGCAATTGTCAGGAAGAGAGAGATGCCTGGCGTCCTTTACCCAGTTCCGCCACTTGAAAAATGACAGTAAAATCTCAGCACGAGGACAGACACAGACGCATCCCTCACACGAGGGTCCCTCCTGCGGGCCTTTTGTAGCCGCAGCCACTTCCCTCCCACCCCCTCCTCCCCAGCCCCTGGAACCGCCGAATCTGTCCTCCACCCCTGTAGTTCCATCACCCTCAGGAGGGCTGTGTACACCGAGGCCTTGCGGACATGGCTCCCCCGCGGGGGCGTGGCTCCCTGGGGTGAGTGTGGCTCCCTGATAGTGGGCGTGGCTCCTTGGTGGTGGGCGTGGCTCCCTCACGGTGGGTGTGGCTCCGTCGGGTGGGCGTGGCTCCCTCAAGGCAGTTTTGCAGACATGGCTTCCTCCACGCAGCCTGTTTCGTTTGAGTCCATCCTGGTGGCCAGCATGTTGGGTTTGTGCCTTTCATTGCTAAGTGGTGCTCTCTGCTTGGGTGCACTGCAGTTCATCAGACCCTGGAGACAGTCCCACGTGTCCCCCTGGGTGGATTCTGTGGGTTGTCTCTGTTCATTCAGCTTGAGATCTTGGGGCTCTTGGTCTAATGAGCAGCGTGGGTCTGAAGCTCGGACACCATGCTGCTTCTGAGACTCTGGGCCTAACTCAAAACGTTAGTTGTGGTCGGCTTCTCCTGACATTGCTTAGTGGATACCTGGAGACGCTAACTCCAAACTTGTGCCAGGTGGAAGGGAAGTCCAGCCACCACCCAGCCCCATCCCTGCCTGGGGAGCTGTGGTAGTCCCAGCTTCCACTGGGGCACCCACTGACACTACTGGGGGACTCCTTGCCCCTGGGCGGGTGAAAGTCCTGACTAACCTGGCCTCCTCGGAGACTACCCTGCAGGGAGGGGCAGGGACCTTGTTCCTTCCCAGGGGAGTGGACATCAGCTCCCCAGTGACCACGCCAGGCCAGGGTTCATCACAGGCCAGTGGGGGGCCAAATGGCAGCTCCCCACGCGACCTTCTCTGAGACCACCTGGTGGGGGCCGGGTTGCCCCATGACAGCCTGACGAGGGGAAGTCGGGGCCCCAGCCTTTGCTGGTGTGAATGACCCCAGCTGCTCAGGGCATTTGGCTGGGGTGAGGCAGTCACTGTCTGAACGTTTTCTGTATTACTGGGCTGTCCCATTCTAGGTCCTCTGCCTAGAAGGATGAGGCTTCTATTGGGTTGGTTTTTGTTGTTGCTGTTTTGTTTGTGCCTGTAGGTGTTCCCCGGTCACCACTTTCTTCACCTCCCAGTCTGGGATGTATGAGGCCATGGGAAAATGCAGGCAGCCACCGCCCTGGCTTCCCTGGTCCTGAGATCTCCAGACGGCCTCCTAACCACCGTCAGGGCCCTTCAGGTTTAGGCAAGGATCACGTCCAGCGTTTCGGTTGTGCTTGGTGGGAGGGATCAGAAATGTCCCGCTACTCCGTCTTGCCAGGAGCAGAAGTCCCCTGCTCACCAGACTTTATGCTCTTCCAGGGCAGGAATTTTTGTCCCTTTGTTCATTGGTGTATTCCTAGTGCTCAGAACACAAATGAGTCATCAATAAGTATTTGTATCTTTTTTCTCCTATCTGTAACTGTGCTTGCAACTCAAAAGCAGTGAATGTGTGTCATGCTCATTTATCTTCCCTTTTCAATCATTTTCCTTTTTTACAATAAGAAAGTGAAATAGAATATCTTTCACAAAATGTAGAGGGGTTTTTTACTTGTTTTCTAATATGGAAAACTTTTAAATTTCCTAAGAATGTAAGTTGCAATGTTCTATTCCTACATTCTTTTTTAAGCTAATAATTAATTTATTTTCATTTTCTCTGCAGGTAAATGCATCAATATGAATTCATCAAAATGTCTTTGTTCAGTACCTCTCTGCATGCCGCACTATTCACTGCAATATTAATAAAGGTAGAGAGAAGTGGTCCCAAACCTAAAGAAACTTCCAAGGCAAAGCAGCTAACCATGGTCTGTGCCCCTCTCAGTGACCGGCTTTTCTAACAAGCAGCTAACCATGGTCTGTGCCCCTGCTCAGGCACTAGCTTCTCAAACAAAGCTGCACTCAGCCTTTGGTCTCAGATCCCAATTTCATATCCTGAATTATGAGATTCAGTATGAAGACCACTGTCACTTTAGTGCATTTCACTCTGTCCCATGCATTTCACATGACACCTGACACCCAGCAGGACCATGGACCAGCCAGCCTTCCCAGTGTGAGGGAGCCTAGCCTAACAGGGACCACCTGTTCACGGCCACTGAACTCCTGACTTGATGAACGCTGAGGAGGAGCCATCCATGATCAAGTTGAGGAATTTTGGAGCTAGAAGGAATTTTAGAACCTTCTCAGACAGTGATCATGAACCATTCTCAGATCAATGATCATGAAGATCAGAAAGATTCTTTGGATGCTGCAGATCCAGGCAGCTTCTAAATCACAGAGGTCTGCAGCCACCTGTAGGTCACCTTGCTGCACTCACGTGGGCCTGTTTCTCACAGTAATAGTTTAACTGTGTGTGGGCACCTAGTGCTTGTCTTCACTGGCAGGCTCAGCTGGACTCCTCTCCTGTAAACATGCTTCAGTGACACCACACAGATGCAAGGCTCATATGTTTCATCACAACATGTGAATCACGTGGTCCTCTCAAATCCATTATGGGAGCGATCCCACCAGCCTGGACTTTAGCATGTCCTTATCACAGTTGTGAACATGCAGACTGTATGGAGCCAAATGCTTCTGCCTGTTTTCAGATTGGCTGCAACCTTTGGATGGGGCTGCTCTGTAAAGCCCAGCTCCCGGGGGTGTGAACCTGACCACACCCTGGCCATGCAGCTCCCCCTGGCCATGCAGCTCCCCCTGGCCATGCAGCTCCCCCTGGCCATGCAGCTGTGCTTTGACTTTTCCCAGCAAACATGATGCATCATTTTTTTTTCCTAATGAAACAACACCTGGACCCTTCCACAAGCAGCCACCCGCTTTCCCGCAGGAGCCGTGCTGGATGTATGTTGTGTCCTGCTGCTGAGGATGCATTTAAACTCTCACCACTTGGCTTGTTTCAGTCTCTGCTGTGGTTCAGTTTGTCAGAAACAAAAGTAGAAATAGACGTGCAAAAGGAAGACTGTTTTGAACGACATCTTGAGAATGGTTTGCGGTATCCGTGACTCGGGCATTATTTGTGGTTACAGTGAGAGCTGAGAAGCTCTGAGATTCCTCCATCCCTCTGCCCTTCCCACTGAAGGCACAGAAATGGAGAGTGTGCTGCCTGCGTCCCTGTGCCGTATGTGCGTGCTTGATGAAGCTGTGAAGGTTTTGGCTGCCCTTTCGTGGCTTCTGTTGTTTTCTTGGGGGCTCAGTGGGATGGAGAGTCTGTTCTGCAGCAGGACATGCCAACAAATTGCATCACTTCTGCCTCGGTGACTGCGGACAATGACATGCCATATGCCAGCGGCAGGAAATGAATGGGCTCATTTACACTGGCACCGGCGCTGCGGCCTGTCAGTCTTCAGAGGCCGGCCACTGCAAATTGGAAGGTGGCGGAGACGCAGAAACCTCCCAAGCTTCCAGGCCACATTAGTCTGGAAGCTCGGAGCAGGGGCAGAGGGAACCCAGGCGAAGGAGGTCCCCTTGCTTGCTATGAATGTTAGCCTTGCAGCTCCAGAAAACTGACCGAGTGAAACCACCACTCTCTGCCCACCCCCTGCACCAAAGGAAAAGAGAAATGGAAAACTGTTGAGTGCATTCAGCTGCAAGGAGAAAACAAAAACACAGTAGGTGCCGCACCCCGGCATGCAGAGCGGCTTTCCTACACACACAGAGGCTGCCACAGCGGCCTGCCCCGACGGCGACCCCACCGCCTCGCCTGGGCACCCGGCAACGCCGCAGTTCACATTCGACCTCCGGCCTCTCCGGCCGCGCGGCGTCTGTCTCCGTGCATGGCAGCCGGGGGTGGTCGGCAATGATTGAAGAGGCCGCGTCCTGGCGACCAGCGCTGCTAATGAACGGGAGGGAGCGGGTCAGGGATCGCCCGCATGGCAGCCCGGCAAGGGCGGAGCCGCCGTCCATTGTCCCTCGCATTTGTTCTCAGGGCAGCGAGGGGGGTCGGTAGCAATCACGCGCTCTCTTCTTCATAATCACTATAATTAGCGTCATAATCTGAGCTGGGTGAGCTTGGGGCAGCTTCCTGGCAGAGTAACTCACTTTTTAAATAATAATAATAATAATAATAATAATAATTGGCATTGCAGGGCCTTTTCATCCAAGTTTAGACGGCCTTATGGAGATCAACCGAGTCTGGATTGCACCCTGCCAGAGAGGAACCTGAGACACTTTGCAAGGAGCTGGGTGCGAAGCAACCTGGCCCGGGTCACAGGGAGGTGCCGGTACGGAGGCCGGCGTCCAGTGAGATTGGATTCACAGGTTCTGGGCCCATGGCAGCCTATACGGAATGCCTGAGACCTTCGATACAATGGACTGATGTTAACTGAAGGCATAAACAAGAGGTCTCTCGTGCTCCTGGACATGAGCAGGTGGAGGATCCTTAGGACACAGCCCGTGCTGCTTCCCCCGGGCCCCGTCGTCCCTGCCATCCACTCACCTTTCCCTCCTGGTTCAAGGACTCCTGTTAGGAAAGAAATAGAGAATGGAACGATACCCACTGACCTGGGCCCAGGCACTTCTCATTTCCAGTTGGTTTGATAAGACATAAATATAGATTTCCCGGGTTTTGCCCTCATAAGGAGTGCATTTAAAATAAAATTATACCAAGTCATTCTGATTCTAAGCAAGCATCTAGACATTCATAGGTGGGAGAGAATGTGTTCCAGGCCTCCAAAGAAAGATCGCACTCAAAACCCCCAAACCCCCACACCCCACACCCCCACACCCCTCAAACCCCCACACCCCACACCCCCACACCCCACACCCCCACATCCCACACCCCACACCCCTCAAACCCCCACACCCCTCAAACCCCCACACCCCACACCCCCACATCCCACACCCCACACCCCTCAAACCCCCACACCCCACACCCCCACACCCCTCAAACCCCCACATCCCACACCCCACACCCCCACATCCCACACCCCCACACTCCTCAAACCCCCACACCCCACACCCCTCAAACCCCCACATCCCATGCCCCATACCCATATACCCCCTCACCTCCCACACCCCCCACACCCCACATCTGCACACCCCACAACCTCATATTCCCACACCTCCTGGACAGTGTAACCCTGCAAGCTCACCCCTGGCACCCCTTGCCCCACCTGCCCAGGTGGATGAGGCCATCAGCCTCACACTGAGTCCCAGAACAGCCCTGGCACGCAGGTGTCCATCATGGTTTCCCTGGTGTCCCGAGCCCCAAACCGCTCCGTGGAAAACACCGAGCTGAATCAACAGGGGGAGAACCCGGCCCTTCTCCTCCTCCCCTCCCTAAGGCAGGGGGAGAACCCAGCCCTTCTCTTCCTCCTCTCCCTAAGCCAGGGGGAGAACCCAGCCCTTCTCCCCCTCCTCTCCCTAAGCCGTGCGTCCTGAATGTGACTGCTGCATCCTAAACTCCTCCTTCCTCCTCAGGAGTTTATTCCCACCATTGGAGCCTTCTGTTTTGAGAGGTCTTGAGAAAACTTGCTTTTAGTCCCTTAAAAGCCCCACTTTTAAACCGATGGCCTTTAAAACTTTGGGCCCTGTGCACTGCGTCATGTCTGAGCGCTGGCATCCACCGCCTTGCAGGGGCCGGAGTCAGGCCCCTTCCAGATGGCCCTGAAGTGCACAATGGGGCCTCCATTAGACACTTCACAGATACGATGAATGCGCTTCTCCCTCACAAAGACACACGTGAGGGGAGTGAAGTTGTTTGCAGTCTGGGTTTCACAGTCCTCCGGCCCAAGAATGTCATCCTTTTCCTTTTGGCCGTTCCCGAGCCCCACCCCCCACCCCCGCCACTGGGCTGGCAGGGAGGTCTTCCAGAGTGGAGCCACGCTGCCCTCACCCCGGGGCTCCTGGCCTTGCAGGGAGATGGTGGTGCTGACAGGCGGCCCGATGAAGTATGTCCAAGGCCAGGTGATGCAGTGGAGTTTGAAGGAGCAGTGAGTTCGAGCCGGGGCCTGTGACTTGGGGGAGGCGGCAGCCGCTCCTGAAGCCCTGGGATGAAGAGCACGTGGAGACAACATGGGCAGAGGAGTGGGAACCAGGAAGAGAAGCAGCTTGGAGAACCATCAAAGCTTCTATGAGGTGGTGCAAAGCCACAGTGAGCAGAGGTGCCCTCATCTGGATAGAAACACAAAAGGAGAAACAGGTTTGGTGAGTGTGTGCATTGGTGTGTATGTTCGTGTATGCCAATGCTATGCATCTCTGTATGTATATGTGCTGTGTCCATGGCTGTGTGTGTATGCACACGAGCATGCATGTGCTGTGTGTTCATGTGCATGTGTGTGCATGTGAGCATGTGTGTTGTGTCCATGTGCATGTGTGTGCACGTGAGCATGTGTGTGCTGTGTGTTCATGTGCATGTGGGTGCACGTGAGCATGTGTGTGCTGTGTCCATGGGTGTGTGGGTGTGCACACGAGCTTGTGTGTGCTGTGTCCATGTGCATGTGTGTCCATGTGAGCATGTGTGTTGTGTCCATGTGCGTGTGTGTGCATGAGCATGTGTGTGATGTATATGTGTACATGTGTGTCCACATGAGCATATGTGTCCTGTGTGTGTGCATGTGTGTGCTGTATGTGTGCATGTGAGCCTATGTGTGTGTTCTGTGTCCATGTGCATGTGTGTGGATGAGGGAGGGAGAATTTTAGGTCTGTTATAGAGATATCCAGTTAAGCGATGTGAAAAAAACAACAACCAGGTCTAAAGTTTGAGACTGGAGATGGAAATTTCACTAAAGTTCTAGGCCGAGTGGGATGACTGCATAAAATGAGAAGAGGCTGGGCAGGAACCTCACATTTGGAGACATTAAAGTGGAAAATTCAACAGAAGCACCAGGACAGGGGTCAGGGTACCAAGCAGGAATCTCAGGGGGCACCCTTGAGACTCAGTTATAGGATCCTGGTACCCACTTAGATGGAGATTATAAAAGGGCCTAGAAACGTAATATTTGAAGAGGATTTTGTCAGGAGACATTTTAGCAAACTGTGATTTTCTAAGAGGAAGGCGTAGGGACTGCTTGTCCTTCATCTGATAATCAACAGAGTCTTCATCACAACCTCTAAACCAGATACATACAATCTCATTTTGTCCTTTAAGAAGATAATGTGTGACCCTGGCCTGAGAATGAATGGTAAAAGCTTTTCTGTGGCTGAAAATCTGCAAGAAGCATAGGAAACTCCAAACGCTTGAGAGAAGCTCAGGATCCCCTTGAAAAAAGCAAGCTTGCATTTCCCATGCAAGTGGTAAGGGTGTAAGTTAGTGAAGGAGACAGGGGAGGCAGTCTTTGGAAAACTTAGAACAGTTTCCAATCAAAGGTTAATCACAGATTAAGGAAATCAGACATCATCCCTGAAAAAATTATCCAAAGAGGCAAAATCTTTAATTTAAGAATAATTAAAATGTCTAAATAGCTTTTTTTGAGCATCTGGTTCCACTAAGATGGAGCAGCCCTTCCTCTCAGGCCCAGTGTTAGGACTAAAGCCCTGGGCACAACACAGGAAATACAGAGAGAAGACTCTGGAATAAGGAGAGGAGCTGGACAGATGAGGTCCCCAGGGCTTGAGGGTGGCCTGGGGCAGATCCCCAGCGTGTCCTAGTCCAGGAACTGCAGAAACCTCCAAGCTGGAGCCGCCAATAGGCACAGAAAGAAAATCCAGGAGAAGGCTATTTCCTATGACAGGGAGAAGGCCGGGGAGAAGGGCGGCCCCAGAGAACAGAAAGGTGTGTCAGCAACACCCATTCTGCTCTACCAAACACCCATGGAACACACAGGCCCCCCACAGCGTCACAGGCTGACCAGACACTGAACCTCCACAGCACTCTCAGAGGTGATGGTGCAACTCCGCTGACGTCCCAACCGTGGCACTGAGTAGGGGTTGGAACTGCCGTGCCCAGCTTGCCCTCCCATCCACCTTCCTGGTGTCACCTGCAGCCAGGAGCTGAGCCAGCACCTCTGCTCAGAGGCCATGAGCTATACGAGTTGCTGCCCACCTTCCCTGGAAGGCATCAGTAGGACCAACAGGAAACTGAATGCCCCCCTCAGCTCATCTGCAGTGAGGCAGTGTGAGCTGGTCCCCCACAGTGGCCAGAGAGGTGTCAGGACTCAGGAGGGGGCTTGCAGAAAGCTGAACGCACCCACCCACACCTCACCAGGAAGACTGCCTGCTAAGACACGTTCCTAAGTAGGATCCAGAGTCTCAAATGTCATCAAAATGGCCAGGATCCAATCAACTCACTCATCACAGGAAGATGCAGAAAAAAGTCACAATGCAGATGAGAGGACAATTGACAGACACCAACACTGAAATGAACCAGTGCTGAAATGTCTGACAAAGACTTTAAAGCAACCATCATAAAATGCTTCCGTAGCAATTATACATTCTCTTGAAACAAGTGAAAAATGGAAAATCTCAGCAAAGAAATAGATCCTATAAAAAAGGACCAAGTGAAGATGATAGAATCAAAAAAGGCAATAACTAAAACGTAAAACTTGCTGAGTTGGCTCAGTGGAGTGAAAACGGCAGAGGAGAGAATATATGTATTTGAGGACAGAACACTAGCATATACCCAACCTGCACAATGGACGGGAAAAAAGATTGAAAGAAATAAAAGCGCCGTCAGGGACCTGCGGGACGAGAAATGAAGAGCCGACATTCTTGCCCTCAGAGTCCCAGAAGGAAAGGAGAGAGCGTGAACTAAAACACCTTTCATGGATGGACTTCCCAAATCCTGCAAATAAATAAACAAATAAATAATTCAAGATAGTGAGTGAATCCAAAATTGGACAAATCCAAAGAAATCCATGACAAGATACATAATAATTAAACTTCTAAAAATTAAAAACAGAGAAAACATTCTTAAAAGCAGCCAGAAATGACACTTTACTTACAGGGAAATGACAATTCCCATGACAGGTTATTTCTCATCTGAAACCACTTCAGAGCCACAGAAAGAAGGAGAAAGCCAGAGCCACAGAAGGAAGCAGAAAGCCAGAGGAAGTAGCAGAACATTTCCTAAGCACCAAAGAAAAAATCTGTCAACCATACATTTTTATATCCTTCAAAAATCTCTTTCAGGAATCAGGGAAAATAAAGACATTTTAAGAGGAAGAAAAGCTTGTCACTAGCAAAAATACCTTTAAATAATGAAGGAATTTCTATAAATAAGAAGAGGTCGGGCACAGTGGCTCACGCCTGTAATCCCAGCACTTTGGGAGGCCAAGGCGGGTGGATCACGAGGTCAGGAGTTTGAGACCAGCCTGGCCAACATGGTGAAACCCATCACTACTAAAAATACAAAAAAAAATTAGCCAAGCATGATGGCACGCACCTCTAATCCCAGCTACTCTGGAGGCTGAGGCAGGAGAATTGCTTAAACCTGGGAGGCAGAGGTTGCAGTGAGCTGAGATCACACCATTGCATTCTAGCCTGGGCAACAGAGAAAGACTCCATCTCGGAAAAAAAAAAAAAAAAAAAGAAGAGATTACAGAAGAATGGTTGGAACTTCAGATAGGAAGGGTAAGCATTGAAATGGGTAAAAAATTGGTAAATATAGTATAATGCCTTCCCGTGAATTTCTTAAATCATATTTGATGGTTGAAGCAAAAATTATAAAACACTAAGTCATGTGCTGATCACTGCATGTACAGGAGATATTTAAGACAATTATATTTTTAAAAGTAGGGAGGATAATGGAATCTAAGTGAAAGTAAGTTTGCTATACCTTACTCAAAGTAGTAAAGCATCAATACCAGGAGGCTGTGATAACCTACGCATGTGTATTACAATAGCTGGAGCAACTGCTAGTTAAATTATACAAGGCAATATGTTTGAAAACATGACAAACCCCTCAAGATGTATGCTTTAAAAGTTTTCACAGGAAAACAAGAAAAGAGAACAGAAGAATGAGAAACAGAGGTTACAAACAGAAAACAGGCAATAAAATGGAAAACTTGCATCTGAATACATCACTAATTACCATAAATGCAAATGATCTAAATACACCAATTAAAAGGCAGCGATTAGCAGAATAGGTTAGAAGAAAAGAAAACATTATCCAACAGTAGCCTGTGTATAAGAAACTCACTTCAAATATAGCATCAGGTAGTTTTTTAAAGTAAAAGAATATATATATATAGCAAACAATTTTTTTAAAAGCAGGAATGGTTATATTAATATTAGACAAAATAGACTTCCAAGCAAAAAAAAATTATTAGAACCAAGAAGGGATATTACATTTGAGAAAAGGATGAATCAGTCAGGAAAAAAATAACAATCCTAAATGTGTATACTCCAAAAAACAAATGAAAATTAGAAGGCCAATATATCAAATATATGGGGTACAGTTAAAGCCGTGCTGACAGGAAAATTCATAGCACTAATTGCTTACATTTTTTAAAGAATAAAAATCTCAATAATCTAAGTTCCAACCTCAAGAACTAGAAAAAGAAGAGAAAAATTAACTAAAGCAAGTAGAAGAAGGGAAATAATAAAGAAAATCAAAAATCATTGAGATTGAGAACAAGAAAGCAATAGAGAAAATCAATAAAACAAAATGGCTGATTCTTCAAATCAATAATTATAACTTCTCGAAATATTTACAAACTTAAAAAGTCAGAAGACAAATCACCAGTGTCAAGAATGAAACAGGGATTTCACTGCAGTTCCCGCAGCTATTGAAATGGTAAGAGAATATTACAGGCAACTTTACGGTCACAAATTCAGCAACTTAGAAAACACAAACCAGCCCATTAAAGCCCAAAATATACCAAAACGCTACCAAAATAAATGAGATCATCTGAAGATTCTATAAGCATTACAGAAATTGAATTTGTAACTTAAAAGTTTTCAAAAAATAAATCCCAAGGCCTAGATTGTTTCAATGAAGACTTCTACCAAATGTTTAATATTGATTCTTTATCATCTCTCTCAGAACATAGAAGAGGAGGAAACACTTTTCAACATGTTTTATGAGGCAAGTTTTACCCTGAACCAAACCCAGACAAAAGGGAAAACTATAGGCCAATGTATCGAATGAATCTAGATGCAGAAGTCCTCTTATTAATATTAGCAAATTGATTCCAATAACATATTAAGAGACTTATACACTGCTGCCAAATTAAATTGATTCCAGATATTCTAGGATTGTTCAATATTTCTAACTCTACCAAAGAAATCCGCTATAACAATCTAAAAGTGATAATACGCTCAGATCAATTGATGCAGAAAAAGAATTAGACAAAATCCAACACCCATTTATGTTGAGAAAAAAAAAAAAAACTCTCGCTAAAAATAGAGGAAAATTTCCTCAACTTGAAATAGAGCACCTACCAAAACATCCTACTGCTAACATCATAGGTGAATGACAAAGCCTTCCCTCTCCAATTGCAGGGAACAAAATACACCCACATGTGCACACACACACAGGCACAGGTGCACACACACACACGAATGCATGTAAAACTGGTGAGATCTGAATAAGGTCAGTGGATTGAGCCAGTGGCCACTTCCTGGTCATGACATTGAGCTGTGATCATGCTGGATGTTACCACTGGGGGAAACTGAGTGAAGGGTGCATGGGATCTCTCTTTATTATTTTTTTACAACTGCACAATTGTCTCAAAATAAAACGTTAGTAAAATAGCTCTTCTTTTGTAGTTTGCAAATTAAAACCAGAAACATTAAGCTATATTGATTAAATAGCAGCTATGTATTATAGTCATTAATTATAAAATTACATTTGAATGGATGTCATAAAGATTTTAATAAAATAAAACCTAACAACTCTGAGTATTTTTGTAAAACAAAGCAGTTTTTGACTAGATTAAAAATGTTCAGTGACCAAAAGAAAGCAGTGTCACAGTTAAAGCTGATAGAGTTTGAACAACATGACTAAGTGTGAGCTCTTGTAAGGCAGAGCCACATTGTACGTAAGCATTTACTTTTTAAGGTCTGGTTGTTGTAAATTTTCTACTTTCTACTTAATATTTGATGCAGTGTATACCTGCCTCAATTTCTACTTTTGTGGAAAATAAGGTAGGAAAGTTCATAGTTTTACCAATTTCAGATACAGCAAACACTTTTCTTGCCACTCCCTGATCGGTAGCTCAGCAGGGGTACTCACCTGATCCCTGGGCTGCTGCCACAAAAAGCCCCAGACAACTCCTCAGGCACAGTCGCACCCACTGGAGCCTGGTTCAGGGATGTGCCTTCTGCCGGGTCACTGGCTGAAGTGGGCGAGTCATCACCACCTTTAGCGCAGTTTGCTTATCTACAGAAAGGGCGTCATGGGGTCCTCCTCCTTCCAGGCTCATAGTGAACATTTAGTGCTCTCACCTAGACAGACCACCTAGCACAGAACCTGGAACCCCACGGTGTTAGCCGGCATTCATCCATAAAATGATTTCCAGCTAGATTTTCAGCCATGGCCTCTAGGGAACCGGAAATGTATTGATGATGAGAGTTGACGGGTGGATTCCCATTGTGTCTGTTTCAACTCCAAAGATGTAGCGGCAGATCCACAAGCAGATCAAGGGACCTCAGTCACAGGCCACTCCCTGGAGGCCACTGCCAGTGTCCCATCAGCAAGGACTCATTCTTTTGCGGGCTTCAGAGCTCAAATTCCTGCAAACATACAAATGTTTCTTAAATGTGTGTTGTGCAAATTGTCAGATTTGAAGTCAGAAACAACCGTGTTTAAATCCAAATTCCTGCCATTTCTAATTGGGTGGCCCTGCACACATTGCCTAGTCTTGACACCCCCCATTCTTCCCACTGTGAATCACATGGAGTGACTGACCTCATGGAGCAACAGCATCAGGAAGTGGCGCCTGTGAGTGTGGACCCGTAAGAGGTGGCGGAACCCATGAGTAGTGAAGGGGCCCGTGGGTGGTGGCAGAGCCCGTGAGTGGCGGCAGGACCCGTGGGTGGTGGCAGGGCCCGTGAGTGGTGGCAGGGCCCGTAAGTGGTGGCAGGACCCGTGGGTGGTGGTGAGGCCCATGTGAGTGGTGGCAGGACCCATGGGTGGTGGCAGGGCCCGTGAGTGGTGGTGGGGCCCATGAGTGGTTGCAGGACCCATGGGTGGTGGCGGGGCCCGTGAGTGGTGGCGGGGCCCGTGAGTGGTGGCAGGACCCATGGGTGGTGGTGGGGCCCCTGAGTGGTGGCGGAGCCTCTGTAGAGGGTCCCCCTCCCCCCACACCCCTGCCTACCTGTGCTGGGTAGGAGATGAGAAGGGACATTGGCCAGCAGTGTGTCTGCACGATGGGAAGCCTGGCTGACTTACCAAGTTGTAAAGCAAGTATCGGGGAACAGCAGTCTCCAGAGATGTCCTTGTCCCAGTCCTGGGAAGCTGTGAATGGTTACAGGTGAGGAGGACGGCAGTCTCCAGAGATGTCCCTGTCCCAGTCCTGGGAAGCTGTGAATGGTTACAGGTGAGGGGGACGGCAGTCTCCGGAGATGTCCCTGTCCCAGTCCTGGGAAGCTGTGAATGGTTACAGGTGAGGGGGACGGCAGTCTCCGGAGATGTCCCTGTCCCAGTCCTGGGAAGCTGTGAATGGTTACAGGTGAGGGGGACGGCAGTCTCCGGAGATGTCCCTGTCCCAGTCCTGGGAAGCTGTGAATGGTTACAGGTGAGCAGGAGTGAGCTTGCCCATCAACTAAGTTTAACTAAAGAGGTTTCCCAGGATGGACCAGGTGCTCTGACATAATGGCAGAGGTTCTGCAATGTCGGGGAGAAAGGCCAGAGAGCTGGTGGCAGGAAGTTGCTGTGTGAGAGGCCAGCCAGTGCTGCTGACTTTGGAGGTGGAAGAGGGACCAGGAGCCAAGGGGTGTGGGCAGCCACCAAAGCTGGGAAACTCAGGGATGGTTTCTGCCCTAGGGCACCCAGAAGGAACTCACCCTGCAGACACCCCACTTTTAGCCAATGAGACCCCTATTGAACATTAACCCCAGAACTGTGAAGAATAAATGTGTGTGGTTTTAAGCCACTAAGCTGCAGTGATTTGTTGTAGCATTGCTAGAAAGCCACACCAGCAAGGAGTTGGCATGGGGCATGGTGCAGGCAGCCCTGTTACTCTGGCTGAGCCTACATATGCACATCCTGTGAGAATCACATGAAAGCAAAGGGTGTGGGGCATGGAGGCTTCAGACCTGCGTCCCTGCACAAATCTCATGTCAAATTGTAATCTTCAGTGTTGGAAGTGGGATATGTTGGGAGATGATTGGAGCATGGGAGCGGATTTCCCCCTTGCTGTTCTCATGACAGTGAGTGAGTTCTCACAAGATCCATGGCTAAAGTGCGTGGCACTCCCCACCCCCCTTCATCCTGCTCAGGCCATGTAAGATGTCTGCCTCCCCTTCACCTTCCACCATAATTGAAAGTTTCCTGAGACCTCCCCAAGCAGATGTAGCACCATGCTTTCCATACAGCCTGGAGAACTGTGAGCCAATTAAGCTTATTTTCTTTAAAAATTACCCAGTTTCAGGTATTTTTTGTGGCAGTGAGAGAATGGATTAATACAGAACATAGGTGCCAAAGAGTGGAGCATTGCTATAAAGATACCTGAAAATGTGGAACCAGCTTTGGAACTGGGTAACTGGCAGAGTCTGGAAGAGTGTGAAAGGCTCGGAAGAAAACAGGGAGATGAAAGTTTGGAACTCCCTAGAGACTTGTTGAATGGTTGGACCAAAATGCTGAGAGTGATATGGACAATGAAGTTCAGGCTGAGGAGGTCTCAGATGGACATGAGGAACTTATTGGGAAGTGGAACAAAGGTCACTTTTGTTTCTTAGCAAAGCAATTAGCTGCTTTGTGACCTTGCCCTAGGAATCTGTGAACTTTGAACTTGAGAGTGTTGATTTAGGGTATCTGGCTGAAGAAATTCCTAATCAGCAAAGCTTTCAACATGTGGCCTGGATGCTTCTAATAGCCTATGTTCATATGCATGAGCAAAAATAACCTAAAACAGGAACTTATGTTTCACAGGGGAGCAGAGCCTACAAGTTTGGAAAATTTGCAGCCCAGAAATGTGTTGGAAGAGAAAAATCAATTTTCTAGGGAGGAATTCAAGCAGGCTGAAGAAATTTGCATATGTAAAGAGAAGCCAAATGTTAATTGCCAAGACAATGGGAAAAAATGCCTTGAAGCCATTCCAGAGATCTCCAGAGTACCCTACCCATCACAGTCCCAGAGGCATAGGAGAGAAAAGTGGTTTCCTGAGCCAGGACCAGGGCCCTGCTGCCCTGCACAGCCTCGGGACACTACTTCCTGTATCTCAGTCACTCCAGCTCTACCTGTGGCTAAAAGCAGACCAGGTTTAGCTCAGACCACTGCTTAAGAGGGTGCAAGTTGTAAGCCTTGGCAGCGTCCACATGATATTAAGCCTGCCATTGTGCAAAGTGCAAGAGTTGAGGTTTGGGAGCCACCACCTAGATTTCACAGGATATATGGAAAGGCCTGGATGTCCAGGCAGAAGCCTGCTGCAGGGGCAAAGCCCTCGTGGAGAACATCTGCTAGGGGAATGCAGAGGGGAAATGTGGGATTGGAGCCCCCACACAGAGTTTCCACTGGGGCAGTGCTTAGTGGAGCTGTGAGAAGAGGGCCACTGTCTTTCAGACCCCAGCATGCTAGATCCAATGACAGCTTGCACTGTGTGCCTGGAAAAGGCACAGGCACTCATAGCCAGCTCATGAAAGCAGCAAGGGGGCTGTGTCCTGCAAAGTCACAGGGGTGGAGCTGTCCAAGGCCTTGGGAGCCCATCTCTTGCCCCAGTGTGCCCTGGATGTGGCATATGGAGTCAAAGTAGATTATTTTGGAGGTTTAAGATTTAACGACTGCTCTTCTGGGTTTCAGACTTGCACGGAGCCAGTAGCCCTTTTGTTTTGGCTGATTTCTGCCTTTTGGAATGAGAATATTTACCCAACACATGTGCCTCCATTGTTTCTTGGAAGTAACTAGCTTGTTTTTTATTTTACAGGCTCATAAGCAAAAGGGACTTGCCTTGTCTCAGATGAGACTTTGGACTTGGACTTTTGAGTTAATGTTGAAATGAGTTAAGACTTTAGGGAACTGTTGAGAAGAGATCATTATATTTTGCAATGTGAGAAAGACATGAGCTTTAGGAAGAGTCAGGGGCAGCATGATATGGTTTGAATCTCTGTCTCTGCCCAAATCTCATGTCAAATTATAATCCCCAGTGTTGGAGAAGCCTGGTGGGAGGTGATTGAATCATGGGGACAGATTTCCCCCTTTGGTGCTGTTCTTGTGATAGAGTTCTCATGAGATCTGGTTGTTTAAAAGTGTGTGGGCCAGGCACAGTGGCTCATGCCTGTAATTCCAGTACTTCGGGAGGTCAAGACAGGCAGATCATGAGGTCAGGAGATCAAGACAATCCTGGATAACATGGTGAAACCCCATCTCCACTAAAAATACAAAAAAAAAAAAATAAGTAGCTGGGCATGGTGGCACATGCCTGTGGTCCCAGCTACTTGGGAGGCTGAGGCAACAGAATCACTTGAACCCAGGAGCCGGAGGTTGCAGTGAGCCGAGATCACGCCACTGCACTCCAGCCTGGGTGACAGAGTGAAACTCCCCTCAAGCTTATGGCAGCAGAGAGAAGAAGAGCCAGCATGCTGGAGAGAAGGAAGGGCCCCCTCCCCTCTAGCCCAGCTGCTAAGGGCTTGGGCCTGGGGTCAGCCCTGGTGCTACTGGCCCTCGGAGAAGCAACACCTGCCTCTGCAGGCTGTCACCACAAGGTGCAGAAAACGCAGAGTCCTGAGCTTCATGAGCACAGCCCTCTGAGGGGTTCCTGCTCCTTCAGACCCAAACCCAGCAAAGCTGAGGGCTATGAAGAGAACTCCAAAGGCATCAGAGATGGAGCCCATGGCAGAGATAGATGTCTCCATGGGACCCAGGCCATTCTTCCTAGGTACCAGCAAAGGGCACCCTCAGATTATTCTGGTAGTGATCCAGTCACGTCTGTGAGAGACAAATAGCCCAGTCGATTCAGTCAAACAGCCAATGTGATTGACTTTCTGTTGTTCACTGACTTGACCAATTATTTGACTGCAATGACCTGATTTTTTCAGAATGGCGTACGCAAAGCCGCAACCCACACAATCAGAAAGAAAGGGAGGATTGGGGAAATGAGACAGCTTGGAAATCATCACGTTCCCCACGACTGAAGAGAAAGTGGAGGGTCTGGTTCGTTCTTCTTGTTACCTCAATAACCATTACCTTTCTGCGGGCTGGTGTAGACACTATCTCAGTAAAAGTAATATTAGGCACTTAAAAAAAATGAAGCATATTTGTGACCCTTCAGATGAAGTATAGTATAAATTAAAACAAAAGTGGCTAATTTTCAGGCCTCGTGGTCAGCAGTGGGGATGGAGAGGAGCTGCCAGCCCTGCCCGCATGGCACTCTTCAGGTGGGAGGGGGGCAGTCATCGCAGGAAGCCTTGGGGATGCTGGGCATTACATTGCAAACTTTGACCAGGAACTGGGTACTCTTCCTTCATTAAAGGGTTATCTCACTGCAGTGCCAGTCAGCAAGTGAAATTACATCAGGCCTCGGCAGTAGAGCAGCCTTGTTTGGCTCAGAGCCCTGTGCTCCAGCCTCTACCCAGGGCCTTTCCTTCCAGAGGCTTGATGCAGTCTCTGCCTCCTGCACCCAGGGCTGTGCTTTTCCAATTAAGAGCAGGCGGCCCAGCAGCACCTGTAAAACAGCAACGTTGCAGAGACACACTATAACAATTCTTTGATGTACAGAGCTAATTTTAGAGCCTTTGAAATCAATTCCTATCACTGATGGGTAAAGTCAAAATGGAAGGCCGGTGAATCAGGGTGAGGTCAGACTCATGTACAGGTCTAGGTTGATTGGTTTGCAGTAAAATCCCTAAGAGCGGCTAGCTTTTAATGAACTTCTAAAAGAAGTGAGCTTGTCTTTCCCGAGAACATGGAGCAGAAAGGTGAGCCCCTCGTGTCTGCCACCTAAGTGACTCGCCAGCCCGGCTGTGTGTGGACTTGAGAAACACTCACCAGGGCCCCCCATCCCCCACCTCCCCACTAGGGAAAGAAGGGCGAAGGGCAGCCTGCACTTCCTGCTCACCAGGGCACCCCACCCCCACCTCCCCGCTAGGGAAAGGAGGGCGAAGGGTGGCCTGCACTTCCTGGTGCTTGTGAAGTTGCATGGGGAGTGAAACCTGCTGGCCACCCAGCTTCCCGAACACAGAGGACATCAGCTGGAACACGGTCATCTTCTGCCTTTAACCAGGGGACTGACCAGTGCGCAGCCAGCAGAGAACGCCATCCCAACAGGCCATGTTCCACGGTGAAGAAATATTTCCAAAGAATCTCTCACCAATCAGAGCTGTGCAGCCCAGAGTCTGGTCCAGGTAGGATTTCCACATAGGGCAGAATCGGGGATATGGTTTATGTTAAATACATGGGGGTTGAGTAAAAACATACACACCCTACACACCCTAGTCCCCTGATCCAGTCAGACTTTTTAAATTACCACACTTGCTGAGACATTCCCAGTGTCATGAATTTCACCTACACGTTTCCACGAGACACATAATGGTCCTTTCTGTTTAACTACCACATCATCACTCTTTGCTGCAAGGGAGTCTCTGTTTTGGAATTTAAATAGCATTTTGATTGAGATTCAAAACTGGGTGAGCTTAATAATGAAAGAATTGAAAAGCCCATCAGCCTCAACCTAAGAAATAATCACGGTTCTCAGTCCTGCTCAGTTTCATTCCATGACGTTCTCTGTCTTCACGTAAAACTTTCCAAACATCATCAGAGTCCACAGAACACTCTTTGGAGTCACTGATTCACGGATCATGACAATGAGCGGCTGCCCCACATGCCTTCCAGACACTGTCTTCCCAAGTACTCTCGGCAGCGGGAACCCACTTCAGCAGAGGAGATCTGGAGCTGGCTTTTGGACACAAGGGATTTTAGATGACAGAGAAACATCCAAACTGAAAGTGCCTTCTTAGCTGGAAACCCAGGACGAATGATCAGGGAGGACCTGGGGAAGGGACTCCCTCCCTGTGAAAACCCAGTAACCCTCACAGGTACCACCATTGTCAGGATGGAGCCCCATCAAGTATTAGCTTTGCTTTCTCCAAAATTCTCTGCTTCAGGTGGCCCAGCTGCTAGATGTGATGACATACATGGGGAATGTGGCCGGTCTAACATCTGATGGTCTAATGAACGGTCTCACATCTGATGGTCTAATGAACAGTTTCATGTCTGATGGTCTAATGAATGGTCTAACGTCTGATGGTATAATGAATAATCTCATGTCTGATGGTCTAACATCTAACATCTAACGTCTACCCGTCTAATGACTAAGGGTTTAACATGTAAGCATCTAACGTCTGATGGTCTAAGGTCTAACATCTAACTTCTACCTGTCTAACATCTAAGAGTTTAACATCTAAGAGTCTAACATCTGATGGTCTAATGAACGGTCTAACGTCTGATAGTCTAATGAACAGTCTCATGTCTGATGGTCTAATGAACAGTCATGTCTGATGGTCTAACATCTAACATCTAACGTCTACCCATCTAATGACTAAGGGTTTAACATCTAAGAGTCTAACATCTGATGGTCTAATGAATGGTCTAACGTCTGATGGTCTAACATCTAACATCTAACGTCTACCCGTCTAACGTCTAAGGGTTTAACATCTAAGAGTCTAACGTCTAATGGTCTAAGGTCTAACAGTCAAACATCTAATGGTCTAAGGGTCAAACAGTCTAATGTTTAACAGTCTAACATCTAACGGTCTAACAGTTTAACATCTAACAGTCTAACGTCAAAGGATTTAAAGTCTAAAGGTCTAACTTCTAATGATCTAATGTCTAAGGTGTAATATCAGTCTAATGGTCTAACATCTAACCGTCTAACACCTAATGGTCTAATGTCTAAGGGTTTAATGTCTGACAGTCTAAAGTCTAATGATCTATTAATAACATCTAACATCTAAGCGTCTGAAGTCTAATGTGTAATGGTCTAATGCCTAATGGTCTAACGTCTAAGGGTTTACCATCTACAGGTCTAATGGTCTAATGATGCAGTCCTGACTCCCCTACATGCCTGGTATGAATTGGTCATTCTTTCCACCTCCCAGAGCCTTTTCATCCCTGTGTAAGTGGGGATAACAACTCCCAACTTGAAATAACCCATGAGAAAGTGCTTGGTAAATTCTAAGGAACATGCAGAAAGCCATAGCATATACAGCTGGTGCTCAGTGGACGTATTGAGCTGCTGTCCCAGAGCCTGGCTCTGTTCCCCTTCAGTATGTAACTCATACTTCATATCTAAATTAGATTTATTTTCTCTGTGCAGTTCTAAGTTCTAGTATTTAATTTAGAAGGGGCCAAGTAGCCTGAGTGGGGGCAGGGAGGGGGTGACACTTCTCATTTAAAAATAGTTGCTAATTAATTTTTTGCACATGAAAGGGTTTTATGAAAATTGCCCAATAATTAAAACCTATGCATAATGATGAGCATAAATATTTTCAGATACAAAACTCTGGTATCCTCTCAAATCACAGAAGCACTCAGCTGTGTCAGGAAGCTACCCCTGTGAGAGAAGTTGCCAAATGATCACCCAGTGGCCACCCCCGTCCTTCCACTTGCAAAGCCTCCCCTGGGAGAACCACCACCCCTGCTTCCTCCCTGCTCAGCTTTCTCCGAACCCATTCTCCTTCCCTCCGTGCTCAGCCCTGTCTCTGTCTCTGAGCCCGTTCTCCTCCTTTCCTTCCTCCCTAGTTTGCCAAGGGGTTCTCTTTCAGGAAGTTGCTTGACTCTTCCTTCAACATGAAATCTTCTGAGGTTGGTCCTGGCCAGCAAAGCCCTTCCTTGATGCACACCCCAGGAGGCATTCAACACCCAGGGGTCCCCAGGACTCCAAGGCCAGCATTGGCTCAGGCAAGAGCCCCGTTGTGGATTCTCCTCACCTCTGCCGGCGCCTGCCTGGCCCCTCCTCCTGGCTGCCTGCATTGCTGGGTTCTGTACAAGAGGCCAGTCCCACCTGGAGGAAGCCAGGGTAGATGGAGCCAAGTGCTGAGGGAGGAGAAAGCAGCTGTTACTTCCAACTGGACGGATTCCCCAGAAAAGGAGGCCCCAGGACCATGGAGCTGAGTGGGAGCAGGAACAGAGGCAGAATCGAGGGCACTCTAGCCTGCAGATGAAGGGCCCCCGGGGTCTCCATCTGGAGGGCGAATATCTGACTTAGTCCTAAAACAACAGTGAGGGCTGCAAGATGTGTCGAGAACCGGCTGTAAATCAGGTGCAGCACACTCCCTGGCAGCCAGGTTACCTGAGCTGAGCCGACGGGCTTGGACGCGATGAGAACCACCTGCCCCACAGTCAGGCGCAGAAGAACACGTGGGGGTACTGATGTCAGCACCAGCACCTCTCAGATCACACTAAAATCCTGGGGCCATGTTGGCTCGAAGAAAGTAAGGGTTAGAATTGTGGATTCTGGGGAAGAGCCAAGTGCTGGTTTCATAAAGGTCCTCAAACTCCCGACAACCCAACAAGAAGGTGTCACAGGCTGGACTGTGTCCCCCCGAAGATGCTGAAGTCCTGACCCCCGTAAGTACGGGCGCACATGCAGTATCCAGAAATGCGATCTTTGCAAACAACCAGGTTGATACGAAATCTTTAGGACGCTAACCCTACAGGACTCCTGTCCTCACGAGAAGAGGAGAGGAGGACACGGACACAGAGGACAGCCGAGAGATGAACCAGGGAGGGAGAGACGTCTGAAAGCCCAGGAGAGAGGCCTCGGGAGGAGCCACCCTGCCCACGCCTTGATCTTGGACTTCTGCATGGAGAGCTGAGAAAGTTAGCTTCTGTTGTTTATGCTGCCTGGTCTGTGGGATGTTATGGCAAATCCTCAGGAGACTTGCACACTAGGGGCCACTGGGCTGGAGCCAGAGAACCACCTACCAGTCTATAGTTGTTCTGGAATCTAGCGAAGGACTGCCGAGTGTCAGAGGCAGAAGGGAGAGCTTGGGGTGGACTCACCGACCCAGCTGTCCTTAGAGGAGAAACTGAGGTGCGTTTGTGTCTAGCGCCCCCTGCCCAGGGACAGGCCAAATCCCAGCACCAGGCCACAGCACTCCTCTTTCAGCCTTCTTTTAGGTAATAAAATCCTTTTCAGATCATGGACTAAACAATAATAATCTTAGTCTTAGAAATGAAAAACCTTTGCTAAAAGAGGTTTTCTTCTTGATAAGGAGTGAGGCTTTTAAATTTCATTTCTGATGCACCAACATTTTGAGACATCAAAACTAAGGGGAAGGGAGTGAAGAAAAACTCACTGGGCAGTGATTAGATACATCTAATAGTCAAGGCTGGGCATGGTGGTTCACACCTGTAATCCCAGCACTTTGGGAGGCCAAGGCAGGAGAATCACTTGAGGTCAGGAGTTCGAGACCAGCCTGGCCAACATGGCGAAACCCAGTCTCTACTAAAAATACAAAAATTAGCCAGGCGTGGTGGTGGGTGCCTGTAATCCCAGCTACTCGGAGGCAGAGGCAGGAGAATCACTTGAACCTGGGAGGCAGAGGTGGCAGTGAGCCAAGATCTCACCATTGCACTCCAGCCTAGGCAACAGAGCGAGATTCTGTCTCAAAAAAATAAATACGTAAAAATAAAAATAAACATCTAATAGTCAAATAAATGCTCTAGTTTGGACATAGTTGTTGGTTATCCTGTAATAAAATCATAACCTAAGGTAGGCTTAATAGTTGAGAACGAATAGAAGAAACTGACATATGCAAATGAGGATAAGGGCAGGAATTTAACACATGAAGATGTCCTGAAAGTGAAGGGATTAAAGCAATAAGCTAAAACCAAACACAGTGGAAATGAAAGCAACACATTACCGTTTGATCGACTTTGGGGAATACAATGAAAATGAAAGCAACATGTTACCATTTGATTATTTTTGGGGAATAACCTGCAACGCCAAAAATCCAAGGAGGAAGGGCGCGGGCTGCACCTGTCGGGCTCAGCGGGCTCAGCAGGCTCACGGTTCACCAATGTATGCCTGCATGGCAGAGCCCTTCAAGGGGAGAGAGATTCCACCTTCCAAAGACAAATGGAAATGAAGAGCTGTGTAATTATTAGTTTTGTTGCAAGCAGATCAATCATTTGCGATGAACAACTCTGCGGTCACATCTGATCTTTCAGCAGACCAGGGCCCGCAGTGCGACTTGGGCAGCACGGCCCATGCTGGCTGGATTACAGCAGGCTTGGCAGCGGGGAGGTGGGCCTGCATCCGTGTCATCCGGACTCTTGTAATTATGACAGATGATTAAATGTGTTATTTTCAGCAAAGCAATGGCAGCTGGAATGGGAACTCAGGGCTGGAAAGAGGCAAGGCTGTGGCTTGGAAGGCTCTTCCGTTGCTGACGCGCACAGACTGAGTACCGCGGCGCCCCAGGTGGCTGGGTGCCCGACGCCTCTCACTCTGCCCATCAGCTCCCGGCTGCGTTTCGAAGCCCGCCCCACCCTCAGCAAAGCGGCCGGGGTGTGCCAGAGAGACTGCAGGCACAAAGATGCTTCTAGCCAAGGTGCAGAGGTCAGCCCAAACCCCGAACTGTCTTCAATGATGCTGTCAGAAAGGATGCAGGGGCCCAGGGACAGCTCTCAGTCCAGACAACCTAGCGGGAGATGGTGTGGGCTTCCCGAAAGGGGTGGAAGCTTCTGGAGCTGCCCCCTTAGCTTCCACTCACTCCACTGACTTCAGGGCAAAGGACAAGGCCCTTAAGGCTCCCCTCAATCACAGACGCTGTCTTCCATTGGTGTCACATTATTCAGAGGCACTTTCGAAAGCAATGGGGGCGGCCTGGCCTGTGCAAGCTTCGCCTGAGAGCTGGCCACGGACCCTTGAAGCATCTGGCGTCCTCTGACAGTGTCCTTGACTCCGCCAAGGTCAGGTTTTCTCCAAATGCAGGACTTCTTGTCTTGGCAGCTGGAAGGAGAAGCCAATCTGACACTAGAAGGATCATCCTCGCGAAGGACTTTCCGCACAGGAGGCTCTGTCCGGCGGTGGCTCTCAGCCCAGGCTCGAACCAGTGGAGTCTGCTCCCACTGCTTTCGAAAGCTCCTCTGAATGATGGCATGGCACAAACAGAAGACAGAACCTACATTTTCATCAAAAGAGAGAGGATGAGGCCACCCAGGATCCTCCCAGGCCTCCTGGGCCAGTCAGGGGTGGAGCACGTTCAGCTCCCAGACCATGGGGGAACTCCCTGCAGGCCTGTGGGGTTTCCTCTCTCCAGCCTCATGCTCCTGAGGCCTGTGGGGTTTCCTCTCTCCAGCCTCGTGCTCCTGACCTTGGGGGTAGTCCCTGCAGGCCCATGGGGTTTTCTCTCTCCAGCATCGGGTTCCTGAAGCCTGTGGGGTTTTCTCTCTCCAGCCCCGTGCTCCTGAGGCCTGTGGGGTTTCCTCTCTCCAGCCCCGTGCTCCTGAGGCCTGTGGGGTTTCCTCTCTCCAGCCTCGTGCTCCTGAGGCCTGTGGGGTTTCCTCTCTCCAGCCTCGTGCTCCTGAGGCCTGTGGGGTTTTCTCTCTCCAGCCTCGTGCTCCTGAGCTGCTGTTGACTTACGCTTCTGCTCGCACACGCACAATTTAGAGCTCAGCAGCCCGACGCTGACCCCAGAACTTCTCGGTTCCCGACGTTTCTGGCCAACCTACAAGTCCACTTCAACCCAGCTCCCTCACGCCCCATCCCCACACCCTCCCGCCTTTTCTATCTATTTTTCTTCCTTAGGAGAAACATTTATGAAAATAAACAAACACCAAAGGGAAGAAAAAACAGTGGCAATGGAAGTTTCCACCGTCAAATCCCCAGCGAGCATTTCTCATCCAGCCTTGTCACCTGCCACGGGTGGGACCACCCAGAGGGCCCTGGAAGACTCACGCAGGAGGGGAGGCAGGGCCAGGCGCCCATCTCAGCTGCCAGACACAGCCGACAGCCTGGCCTTGGCTCTGGGTGGAGCGAGAGGCTTTGTTGGCACAGCTGCTCCCTCTGTCCAGGGCTGGGGCTCCCCCCTCTGCCTCTGCACTGTGGAGCATGGTGGGACGCACAAGCCAGCGCCTTGGATTGCTATGTCTCCTGAGGTCCCCTCAGGTTCTCACAATTCCCTGGGGCCCTCCTAAAGTCACTCTGGCATCGGGGAGGCCCCCAGAGACCCCCAAAGCAGCAGTTGCCCCTGTAGCCACACCAGGGCGCCCCGGGCTCCTCAGCCGGGACTTGCAAACTCCTGCAGTGGGCAGCACACCTGTGGGCAGAGGCTGCGGCGAGCAGACTGAGTCCTCTCTGAGCCTCCCTGTCTCCTCATGTTCTGAGCAGGTGTGGGCAGAGACCGCGGCGAGCAGACAGCATCCTCTCTGAGCCTCCCTGTCCTCTCTGAGCCTCCCTTTCGCCTCGTGTTCTGAGCAGGTGTGGGCAGAGGCCATGGCGAGCAGACGGCGTCTTCTCTGAGCCTCCCTGTCTCCTCCCGTTCTGAGCAGGTGTGGGCAGAGGCCGCGGTGAGCAGGTAGCCTCCTCTCTGAGCCTCCCTTTCGCCTCGTGTGCTGAGCAGGCGTGGGCAGAGGCCACAGTGAGCAGACGGCCTCCTCTCTGAGCCTCCCTGTCTCCTCGTGTTCTGAGCAGGTGTGGGCAGAGGCCGCAATGAGCAGATGGCATCCTCTCTGAGCCTCCCTGTCCTCTCTGAGCCTCCCTGTCACCTCATGTTCTGAGCAGGGGCTCCTCGGCCGTCTGTCCTCTTTGACAATCAGTGACTTGGGAGTGGGCAGCAGTCATAATACCAAGGATGGGGAGGGTGAGACAGTGACTCTGAGTCATCTCCTCTTATAAGAACCTCAGTCATCGGGGTCAGGGTCCACCGTAGACCAGCCTGACCTAGCTACAACCCCGTTCCCAAATCCTGTCACCTTCACATCTGTGGGGTAAGGACTCAACACACCTTTATGGAGGGGCACAGTTCTACCCACAGCACAGGGTTATCTCTAATGAAGAAATCATTTCTGCTTCTATAGAGATTTAAAAATAATAAAGTCTCAACGTTTGAACCCTCTTAGGTCAGGAGGAAGCCCATGCTTTCAGCCCTACCCCAAGCTTAGGAGGAATGAAGTGACCTGCTGTCCCCTTCAGAAAGAGTGACCACTGACCCCTCCTGAGATGGGAGCCGCCAACTGCCCACACCAAGGGTGGCTGAGGGACTCCACTGCTGTGGGGAGGGAAGGACACCCACAAAAGCCTGGGCGTGAGTCGAGTTTTTCTGCCACCAGCTGCGTTGCTTTCAGCCAGTCACTCGACCCCTGCAAACCCCAGTTTGTCCATCTGCACAGTGGGATAATAATGTCAGCTCCCCAGAGCGTGAGTGTTTGGAGCTGAGCACAGGCCATAATGAGGATTCCTGTGCTGGTTTTCATGATAAAGAAAGGGAATTCCGGAGTGCTCAATATTTTACATGAGTTGCAGGTGGGCCGGTAGCGGAAGTGGGCAGCTGTCCTTCAACCCAGCCATAAACTCTGTTTATTGGTGACTATTGTTCTTATTCTTCTCTGCTGAATCCAAATCACCTTTGCTCTATGGTCCATAAGATGAAAGTTTGTCTCTTTCCTCCTGCTAAGTAGCACATTTTCCTGGGATACCTTTATTAAGTTTAGGACAGGAGCATCTTTGTACTGACAGCCCAAAGGTTTTCCACATTCCTCTGCAAACTTTGGAAAGTGGCAACGAATGTGCCCAAATATGTGGGAATAATTGTGCCCATCTATGAATGCCGTGGAGAATCAGAAAGTTCCCAGCATTCCAGGAGAGGTTGCTCCTTGCTACAAAAAAAAAAAAGGAGAAGGAAGGAAGGGAGGGAGGGAGGGAGGAAGAGAGAGAGAGAAAGAGAGAGAAGGAAGGAAGGAAGGAAAAAGGAAAGAAGGAAGGAAAGAGAAAAAAGGAAAGAAGAAAGAAAGAAAAAGAAAGAAGGAAAGAAGAAAGAAAGAAGAAAGAAAAAGAAAGAAAGAGAGAGAGAGAGGAGGGAGGGAGGGAAGGAAGGAAGAAAGGAAGGAAGGAAGGAAGGAAGGAAAAGAAAAGAGAAGAGGAAGAAAGAAAGATAAAAGAAAAGATAAAGCTTTGCAGGGTAGAATGTTGATGAGGAGTCTGACAGAAAAAGCGCTCACGGGTTGTGCTCAGAGAAAGGACAGAGCCAGCACACATGGGCTGGTCAGAGGAGCCTGCAGGCACCAGGTTCCCGGGTCCCAGGTAAACAGCACAGGACCCCTGAGTGCTCCACAGAAAGGCAGGTGCTCACAGGACCTCAGGCCAGGAGTAACCTGGGAATGTGTTCTTTCCACTATCCTTTTCAAGCTGCTTCTAAATACATGCCAGTTGTGCAGATTTATTCACGACTTAGTAATTATCTAAATCAGGCCCCAAAATAGCTATTTTTATATAATTCAGAGAGTTTTCAAATAAACGTTTAAAATGTATCATGTTTTATAAAGCTGTGTGTACAGTCTCATAATTCTTAGAGAAAAATAACCTAAAACTTTTACTAAACCTGTAATTTTACAACCCACAAGGAACTAAACTTCCACCCAAATGCCGTTTATAAAACAACAGACACTTATGGGAAGATCCGAATATTCATGATCCAGATATCCGCACAGGCCCCGGCATTGTTTTGACACATTTCATACACAGGCAGAATGTACTTGGCAATGCTGCAATCAGCCCCGCCACCAGCTTGATGTTGGCAAACCCAGTGTGTTCCAGGTACAGGCTTGTGTGCAGGACGCATAATTACAAACACTAGAGACACCTGTGGCCTGGTTCAAAATTTCATCTTCACCCTTCCGTGCCATTCACTGATTTAGTAAAAGCCTTTAGCTTTCATGATAGAAAACAACGTGTGACTAAAGCTGAAAAGCAAAGATTTCAAGAAAAAGTAAATGAGATATTTTTCCCATAAAAATGAAGGCAGTTCTTAAATACTTTGAGAACTATCTCAAAATCCACAAATTCTTTTTGGATTTCTTGTACAGTGGGCAAAAGTAAGCCTATCCACCGCCCGCCCCCCCAACACCAAAAAAAAATATCTATAGTGAGTTCAGTAACTGACAGAGCTTTGAAGTGTTCGCGGCATCTTCCACCAGAGTTCACAGCTGTGGCAAACAGTCTGGTGCGGCTCTAATTTCTAATTATGACTCACAACGACTGGGGGCGGTTGTCAATGTTACTTGTCCCGTGGTGAGAAACAAAATGACTCCATGTTCTGCTGCCAACCAAATCATCCAATTCTTTAGCAAAGCTAAGAATAATCAACTAAATAACAAAAACCAACAGGAGTGATGAACATCTTAGGAATGGCTACTGACGTCCCCAGGAGGATATTCTCACGCGGAACCCAAAGCTCCAGGAATTTCTCCAGTTTTCAGAGAAGATGCTGAACTTTCCACTTCAGAGAAGTTGCTGAACTTTCCACCTTACATTTCTTCCTCGGGCTCTGACATGCACTGGGCCCAGCAAGGAGGAGTTGCCCTTCTAGAGCACACTCTGCTCCCCCCACACTCAGACACCGCATGAAGCCGTGTCCCTGCACACCCACTGGACACTGAATCAAAGAGCCTGAAGTCACACTCTGCTCCCCTGGCACTCAGATAACCTCACGGAGCCCTGTCCCTGCACACACACTGGACGCCGGATCACAGACCCTGAAATCATGCTCAGTCTTCCTCACATGAAGGACAAGTAGCTGCATCTTGAGATCCGTCCCTGTGATGGACACATGGGGTGAGCACAGGGGATATACACAGAACACTATAGCCTGAGGTCCGACCCTGTGATGAACATATGACAAGGGTACAGAAATCTGGAGCTCGAGATCCTTCCCTGTGATAGGCACATGAGGTGTGTGCAGAAGGAAGGGGGTGCCGCACCCCATCTGTAAGCAGGAGCCAAGCCACATGTTGCTGGGACTAGCAAGGGACTTGTGTTCCCATCGAAGCACAAGAAAGACAGGCTGCAACTTAGAAAGGTGACCGCTGCAGAGACCAGCCGTCCAGTTGGGGCCCACTGCTGTGGCGTCTTCCCTCATTCTTCCCTCCGCTTGGACTTGATCGATGGCCTGGACCAGCGTGAAGACCACCTGTGAGGGCTGGGGCCCCAGCCACCCAGTCAGGGGTACTTGACCCTGGAGGCCAGGGATCAAATATCAGAGTGACGTGGATTTTAGTGACTCTGTTCTGGTTCTTAAACGAAGAGAAACGGTCACAGGAGCGTGAGTGAAGCCGACTACACATCCATGTCCGAGAGCCTCCCTGAGGGCTCTCAGAGAGCTGCATCACCTGCCTGTTGGGCACCTTGTCTTGGCCTGAGACCCGCATCTTTTCATCTCAGAGGGTGAAGCATGCATACTCTCCTCAAGAAGAATTTCGGGAAGACTTTGCACTGTACTTGGGGGATTTTTCAGGGAGCTTCTCTGAGGGAGTAAAGAGTGGTCCCAGGCACTGGGTGTCATGTGTTGTCACCTGTCACCACTGCCTGCCAAGCCCCACGCTTGTCAGATGCAAGGCAGAGCAAGCTGGAGAATGAGGGACGCCTCACAAGGCTGGCAGTCACATCCCTGTGCACCCACCAGAGCCACACACACCACCATTTCTCTTTAATATGAGCAAAATCTAATACTGAGGGATTTTCTCCGGGTAGCAATGTTCTGTCAGAAAGATTCCAAAAGAATCTATGAGGCTCTCATGAAGAGTCATCTGAAGGTTGATTGTGGGGAACAAAGCTCACTCTTCAATGTGAAGACAGCTTTCGGCAAACACCCTCCTGCAGCGTTCACTGAACATGAATGTGCAGAGAGTCGTCGATACCTATAAAATATCTGCAGTAGGTTTTGCCTTCACTGCCCAGCATTTCTGAAGACATTGGTGGTAAATTTGCAGTGAGGTTTGGAACACACACGCCTATCCTTTGCTGACTTATGTACCGCCTCTTCGTGCCCAAAAAAACCATTTTAAAATGTATTCCTTGCTTTGCTTTCAGGAATTTGTTAATTTGGGCCTTTTAACATAGGGTATCGCATTACACTAAAACCTGACCTTCCCTGGCAGGAGGTATCATAAAAGTTATACAAAAGAGCTCCATTCACAAGGATGTTGGTGGTGCAGTCAGTCTGAATAATCAGACCTTACTTAAAAGTAAGGGAACACAGAACCCATTCTCCTAGCCATTCATTTTAAAATTAGAGTCTTTCAACTGCTTTATACAACAGGCCACACAGCGTGGTCAGGTAATAAAAGTAACAAGCCAACATGAAAATAAATAAATAAGAAAGCATTAAGGAGGAAAGACTAGGAGGATAATCCAAAGGGTTACACATCTGTGGTTGTTATAAGGAATTATTTAAGTTATCATTTTCACCAAAGCTGTTCTAGCTCAGTAAAAATTCCCCTTATGGTGGGAGTGCAGCAATGCATGTCTGTTGCTCTTGCTGTAAAGTTTAGTTAGAACAGAATAGCTTGTGTTTGGGCCTCACCTCGTGTTTGTGGACATCTGAAGTTAAGAAAAGCATTCGTCTTTCGGGCAATCAGAGCCCAAAGTCCCAAACTGTGTGAATATTAGTTAATGAAGATGCTAATGTTGCTGTCATTTGCCACCGAAGTGATAAATAGGCACTGCAGACTTGGATGCAGACACACAAGGGTTCCCGCCCAATCTGTGTTAACATAAACTGGGTGTGCAGGAGGTGAAAATGAGAAAACAGAGATGTCAGCTTGAGCTCGCTGGTGGGAACCTGAGCCAGGCCAGTTCCAGGACCTGTAAGGATGGTCAACATCACTTCTGATTTGTGGGCCGGGTATTGGGAAAGCAACACCGATTTGAGCTTCAATAAGACCATACCATGAAGCCACAGATAAACATATATCTGCACACTATCACTCTACATGAGCAGTCACAAACTATAGCTGGGCGCTACAAGAATTTCCATCCATTCTACTGAAAGGACAGGCACCATTGGATCAGAGGACGGAGCTGTGGCAATGACGTCACTCTGCAGAGCTGATCTCTGCCTTCTTTGCACTGTCTACCTCCTCAGGCAGAGTCTCCCATCCCATGGAAGCTGAAATTTTATCAGTTTAACAGCCTGTGCCCCAACAGTTTTAACAGAGGCCAGCTGACTCCTGCTAGCTTAGACGGGGCCACTGCCCATCCCTGAGCTGATGGCCATGACATCTCAGTGCAGGCCGGGTTCTGTGCTCCCTACTGGAGGTAGGCAAGAAGTCAGCCACACCAACGCCTCACAAACTCATGATGCCAGGTAAAAGGGCAAAATAAGGACGTCTGAAAATCCTGTCATGCATTAAAGCAATGAAAAAGTGGCAAAATGATCAGCATTTTCAGAACTCAGGGAATTAACCAAAAATTTGCAGCAATCCAGGGATCTTTTTTTTTTTTTTCCAGGAAAAATGACTGAAAAGAACATGACTGTAAGAACAGTGAGCACACTGGAATTTTAACGTGGCTTCCTCCCACCCTTCCTTTCCAGCTGTGCAGCACACCTGAAAGTCAGAATCCAGCAGTCATGGTGAAACCCGGCAATCGGGCAGGCATGGGAGGGGCAGATTCCCAGAGAATCCCGAGTACTCAACCTGCCTGTTGGGTCCCAGAAGGACCCCATTTGCAAGGCTGTCTTCGTCTGACCCGACTCACAGCCCATCCAGTATGAAAAGCCTTCTCCACTGCAAGTGTCCATTTGGTTTCTCTTTGCGACACTTCTCCTCCCCTGTCTGATTTAAAGGATAACTGCATAAAGCAATACTTAGAAATATATGTTAATGGGCACACAATATATAAATGTGTAATTTATATGATGATAACCACACAAAGGAATGGAGAGGGCGTGGAGCTATATGAAAGCACAGTTTCTGTACACTATTGAAAGTAAATTAGTATTATATATTCAATGTCATTTTTGTTTCTGTGTTTCTACTTTACTGCCTTCTTTGAGGTTGAATAGATATGTCTGTGTATCGTTATAATTCCTTCACCTTTTCTTTTCCTTTTTAAAGTTATTTTCTTATTGGTTGCCCTAGGGACTTTAATTAGTATCTTAGCTAATGAAAATGTAGTTTAGGTTAGTACAAGCTCAATTTCAATAGTAAACAAATATTAACCCAAACTAGATTAAACATATAGAAACAAATATTAAAATGACATACATAGAGCTAAACTTGTCAGTAACTGAATTAAATGTAAATAGACAAAGCACTCTAATTAAAGGCAGTTTGGCAGAATGGATTTTAAAAAGAGGCCAGGCGCGGTGGTTCACGCCTGTAATCCCAGCACTTTGGGAGGCCGAGGTGGGCGGATCACGAGGTCAGGAGATCGAGACCATCCTGGCTAACACAGTGAAACCCCGTCTCTACAAAAATACAAAAAAATTAAACAGGTGTGGTGGTGGGCACCTGTAGTCCCAGCTACTTGGGAGGCTGAGGCAGGAGAATGGCATGAACCTGGGAGGCAGAGCTTGCAGTGAGCCAAGATGGTGCCACTGCACTCCAGCCTGGGCGACGGAGTGAGACTCCTTCTCAAAAAAAAAAAAAAAGAAAGATCCAACCACATACTGTCTACAGAAGACACACTTTAGATTCAAAGACACAAATAAGTTGAAAGTAAAAGGATAAAAATAAATGTTGCTTGCAAAGAATAACCATAAATAAAAGAGCTGGGGTGACTCCATAAATATCACACAAAATAGACTCTCAAACAAATGTTGTCACTAGAATAAAAAAGGATATTCTGTAATTATAAAAGAGTCAGTTCATAAAAAAGTATAACATTTGGCCAGGCATGGTGGCTCATGCCTGTAATCCCAGCACTTTGGGAGGCCAAGGTGGGTGGATCACCTGAGGTCAGGAGTTTGAGACCAGCCTGGCAAACATGGTAACATCCCATCTCTACTAAAAACACACACAAAAAAAAGTATAACATTTGTAAACATATATGCACCTAACAACAGAGCCCCAGGATATATGAAGTAAAACTGACAGAATTGGAGGGAGAGACAGAAAATTTTACATTAATAATTGGAGACTTCAGCCTAACTTTCAATAACAGCTATAACTAGACAGAAGATCAATAAGGAAATAGAGGACTTGAACAACACTATAAACTAATTAGACCTAACAGACATATATGTAACACTCCACCCACAAGAGCGGAATACTCATTCCTTTCAAGCACACTTGGGGCACTTTCCAGGATAGGTCATGTTCAACCATTAAGCAAGTCTCAGTCAATTTAAAAGGTCTGAAATCCTACAAAGTATATTATCTAAGTACAATGGAATAAAATTAGAAATCAAAAATATGTGGGAAATTTATACTAGAAGGAAATTAAACAATAGACCCCCAAATAACAATGGGTCAAAGGAGAAATCACAATGAAAAATTAGAAAATACTGTGAAGTGAATGAAAATGAAAATACAACATATGAATATTATTGACTGCAGTGAAAGCAGTGATTCGAAATTTAAAGCTATAAGTGTGTACTTTTTTTTTATTTTTCATATCTCCATCTCTAGGACATCTGTAATCTCTTTAATTTCTATTCGACAATATAAGTGTGTACTTTTAAAGAAAACTGAAATCAACAACTTTATCTTTTGTATTAAGAACCTAATAAAAGAAGAAGAAAATAAACTCAAAGTAAACAGAAAGAATAATAAAAATAGTAGTGAAAATGAACTAGAGAACAGAAAAACAACAGAGAAAATTTTTAAATTATGAAAATTCTTTCAAAGATCAATCAAACTGACAAAACTTAAGCAAGACTGGCAAAGAAAAAAAAGAGAGAAGACCTAAATTACTAAAATCAGTAATAAAAGAGGGGACATTACTGTCTACCTTACAGAAATAAAAAGGATTATAAGGGAATACTATAAACAATTGCATGCCAAAAAAAAGCCTGTATGAAATCGAAAAATTCCTAGAAAGATATGAAGTACTCTAGAAGAAATTGAAAATATGATTCCAGAAGGAATTAAAAATCTAAATAGACCTATAACAATAAGTAAAGTTATTGAACTCATAGTGATAATTTTAAAAAATAAAAAATAAAACTAACTAAAAACTTCTCCACAGAGAAAAGCCCAAAGCCAGATGGCTTACTGGTAGAATCTACTAAATATTTAAAGAAGAATTAACACTAATTCTTTATGGAGAGAGAGAGAGAGAGACAAGTGTAATGAACTCTTACAATTTTATGTTAACTTGGTTTTAGCCATTTTGGTTTTTGCTATCTAGCTCAAATAACAGGTTCTCATTTTCACTTCTGTGGCTGAGGCAAGATACCCCTCACCCAACACCCACACACAGCCTCAGAGCCAGCAGGACCTCAAGATAACACCTCCTCATGGGAAAGGATTTCCACAGTTGTTTGCTTTGAACTGTCCAATTGCTACCCTGCCTCCCAAATGCCTAAGTTCTCCACCTTGAACCTCACTAAAGGCAAGGGCCCCAGATTCACACTTCCCCTGCCTGCACTCCCTGACCCCATTTGTGGGGTCTCCAGGTATGCCACGCACCCCTCAGGACCTGTGAGGAATAAAATATTTATTTCCATTCTATGTACCTGCTAATCATTAAAAGTGTGCTCTCCACTATAAAAGTCCTACAGTAAAACAAGGAGTGGAAAATTTCAACCCATTCTGTAAGTCCAGTATTACCCTGATTCTAAAAGCAGATAAAGACATTACGAGAAAGGATAACTACAAACCAGTGCCCATGATGAATATAAATGGATTATCAAAAATATATATATGGCTAAACTGAATCCAGCAACATAGAAAAAAAAAGATTATGCCCATGACCAAATGGAATTTATCCCAGTAATGCAAGGTTGGTTCAACATACAAAAATCAGCCATGTAATGCACCATATTAATAGATTAAAGGACAGAGCACATGATAGATACAGACAAAGCTTTTAATAGATCTTAATAGATGCAGAAAACACATTTTACAAATCCAACATACTTTCATAGTAAAAAAAAATTCAATAAACTAGGAATCATGGGGAACTTCCTCAACCTGATAAAGGTCACCTATGAAAAACCCGCAGCTAACTTATTACTTAATGGTAAAAACTAAGCTTTCCCTCCAAGATCAGAAACAAGACAAGGATATACATGCGACCACTTCTATCTAACATTGTTCTGGAGATTACAGTCCTGGCAATTAGGCCAGGGAAAGAAACAAAAGGCATTCAGACTGGAAAGGAAGACGTACAACTACCTCTAGCTGCAGGTGATGTGATGTCATATATTGAAAGCACCAGGGAGTTGCATACATGCATACACACTATTAGTGCTAAGTTCAGCAAGCTTTCAAGAAGGGAAAGGTATACTTCAAGGATCAGACATTCAGCATAAAACAAGTATGAAGGGAGAAGAGGTGAAGAACTAAACTGGAAGGGTGCACAGTAGTCCCCAATCTTTTTGGCACCAGGGACCAGTTTTGTGGAAGATAATTTTTCCACAGACTAGGGTAGGGACAGGGGCTGCGGAGTGGAGGATGCTTTTGGGATGAAAATGTTCCATCCACCTCAGATCATCAGACATTAGATTCTCAGAAGGAGCATGCAACCTAGATCCCTGCCATGCACAGTTCACAGTAGGGTTTGCACTCCTATGAGAATCTAATCCCACCGCTGAACTGACAGGAGGCGGAGCTCAGGTGGTAAAACTTGCTCACCCACTGCTCACCTCCTGTGTATGGCCCAGTTCCTAACAGCCCATGGATGGGTACCAGTCTATGACCCAGGGATTGGGGACACCTGCTCTAGAGCCAGGACATATGGGGCCCTTGAGTCATGTTAGGACGGCACTTACCCCTCTTAGTCACCACTTTCTTATTTGTAAATGAAAACACTATTTGCATAATATGATATTCATGTATGTTAAATCTCACAATGCTATGTACACAACATGGTGCCAGGCTTCCGGTAAATTCTCAATAAATGTTAGCCCTGCTGTGATTTCTGAAATAATAAAAATGTGTTCAATTATGAAGTTCAAACTAAAAGGCAGATGGGGCTGCCTAGGGAATGGCCATTCCAAGACACCAAACTTCGCATGTTGACATCAAGTGAAAGCGTGTATGAGGATGTGATGAGAGGAATTGTTGCTAAAAATAAAGAATTCCAAACTTCTAATGAATGTATCTCATGTATGATACTATCACTTTATCTCTTTTAATTTCACAAGAACCCTAGGAGGCAGATTCTGTTAATATACTCAATTTTCAGGTGAGGAAATTCATGCTCAAAAGAGCAAGTTCTTTTTATAAAGTGTGAACCAGAGCACTTCGGTGCAATACCGCCTTTACTAAAAGATCAGGGGATAAAAATTGAAGTTGGGTGTGGTTATTTAAACATATATTACAAGCATAAGTACAAAATGCACTCCAGGGATAATAAGATGACTCAGCCACCATCCTTGCCTCAAGGGACTGTGGCTCCTAGGCTAACGAGTTCCATCAGATCTAGACATGGGCTGGGCACTTTCTTCACACTTCAGCAACAGAGCTGGAAATGTCTGGACAGCATGTGCTCACGTTGTGGCCTTTAGAACCTGGAAGCACCAGAACTGAAGCTGCTGTTCCCGGTTTGGATTTTTGAAGACACCTGTGCTGAGCACTGAATGCTAATAAACACTTAGATATAAGTTGCTGTCTATGCCAAGTTATGATTGCCAAAGTGTGGTTTTCCCATTAACTGATGCCTCATGGGCTCCTTTCCAATTGACTTCTCAGTGCAACTATCCAAACCCCTTCCCCACCTAGAAGCCTACCCATTTATAAAGATGATAGTTAAGTTGTACCTCTATAAGAATTCCCATAATACTTTCAAAACTTCGATCATTCAATGCCTGCTGACAAATGATGGAACCCAGCATGGCCTGGGTCTCCTGTGGCCAATGCAACTGCAGTGTGGGTGGAGCCCTGCTGGGAGTCTCTAAACCTCACACGCTGTGCTCAGGAGGGCAGATGACACCCCGCCATGGCACAGCTCTGGAGCTGGGCTGGAGCCCCAGTTGTCTCAGCTTTGATAAGGTTTGTCATGGCACCTGTGTGTTCTTTCAGGATTGCAGACCACTGGAGCTGATGGTGAGACTGAATGAGGAAGACACAAAGCCTTCACTTTATTTCTAACAGGGGCAGCGTCTCCTCTAGCCAATCGATTTTGGAGGTTAGAATGGTAAGCGGTGACAAGCATCAGCCTGGAATTCGACAGACTTGGAATCACTTCCTGGTGCCATTTACCAGTTGTCAGGCATCGGTTAAGTGGTTTAACTCCTCTCAACCTCCATTTCCTCACCTATAAAATAGACACCGTAATGTCTGGCACTCATGAGTCATTGTGAGGAGCTGAATTTCAACCCAATAAATATTTTTAATCTTTGAATGGTACTCATTCTTTGATAATATGTGACATAATTAAATCAATTGTTCACTTAATCAGACTGTGTCTTAGTTTTCAAACTTAGGAAAAAGAGATAACATCTTCCTACCTTAGTTGCATTGCAGAATTTGAGACTTCCCACAGGGAGATAAAAAAAGGTCACATATAAGCATCACTGAAAAGCAAGAGTGACATTGAATCATCATTGCAGTACAATTATATTTTTCCCACAAAATGACTTAAAATTGTAGTATTTATTATTATTTTTCTCAAGTGTAAATACAAGGAAATCATGCTAAATGTTACATTTAAGAAAGTGCCATAAAACAACATTAGTAGGAGTCATATGAGATAAGGGAGCAAGAGGAAGAGAGAGAGAGCTGTCACCAGCAGGAGCCATTGTGATTCGAGCTACAGAAATTTCAAAGACACTAAAGAGAAGTGAGTCAGAGCCCCGGCACTTCTAAGATGCTTTTGTGAACTGGAGCTTTCAAATAGTTTATGAGGTAATCACAGCAACCTTAAAAAATCTGGTCTAGGAGGGAGAAGGAAACAACACACCAACACTTGGAAGACAGCGGCTGTTCCATCCGTGCAAAGCAAGCTATTTAGTGATGTTCTTCTCACATTAAATGAGCCAGGAGACCACACACTTAACTATGATTTTAAAATTAATTATGCCTCACCTCATCATAGTACTTAAATTGCATTTAAGTTGTTTATTCATGCGTCGGACTTGTCAGATGAAAAATGCATTTTTGTCCTGAGGCCAACCTGCAGTGCCTGATGGTGAACGTGCCCGGTGTGATCCCAAGGCCCATGGGGAGCCTGAAAAGAGGGTGGCGAGGGGTCTTGCATGCGGTGCGACCCCCACGGTTAGAGCTCCGTCAGTTCTGCAGTGGGTGTCGATTATTTAAACGATTACACTAAAAGTAATTTCACCATCATTATACCAGATTTGCATTTTGTTTAAATAAAAATTTTTTAACTGTAAACTTTAAGATGTTAAGGAATGTAATGATTAAAAAAAACTTCAAACAGAGTAATTCAAAAATAGATCTCAATCTTTAACTGTAAGTCATCACAGCAGGTCAGTCTACAGAAAAATTCCCCAAAACTTAAACAGTGTGGAATTGAATACTTCAGTGTATTCTTCTATATAAGCTTTAAGAAAAGAAATGAGGAAACCCATGGAAAATGATACAAAATGTTAGGTTCAGAGGAAAATGTCCTATTGACCGACAAAATCCCATAAGTATAGAACCTTCTGAGTAGTTCATAATAGAGATGGGGAAATCTCTTTCTTCGCCTCTCCCCAAATTCAGGAGAAGATAAATATAGATACAGGTACATTTGCTGATTAAGAAAGATTCTTACAATGTTGAAGTCTGATGATAGCTCACCATCTTTCCCCAGTGGCAGGTTGGAAGGTGGTACCATCTTTCCCCAGTGGCAGGGTGGAAGATGGCACTATCTTTCTGTGGTGGCGGGGTGGAAGGTTTTACCATCTTTCCCCAGTGGCAGGGTGGAAGGTGGCACCATCTCTCCCAAGTGGTGGGGTGGAAGGTGGTAGCTGATGTCTAAAGTTTGTATCCTAAGGTCCCCCACAGTCTAAAGCAGTATCTTTTTCAGGCTGTGAAGGTAGGAAAGACTTCATTAATCTGATGACATGAGCAAGCCTCTCTCTCTTCTGAATGTTTTATTGTGGCTCAAATGCTTTGGCTAAAACCAAGTTCTACTTCTGGATAAGCAAGTTGCACTGTTGATCATATTTGCAGGGGTGTTTCGAAGTTATCAGAAAAGTCTTCGCATCCTAGACAAGTCAAAAGTTCACAGATTTGCGCGAGCACAGGTGTGCCTCTGCTGAAGCTGCCCTCTCCCTGTAAGCTGTTTATTCTTTGCACGGGGTACGCATCTCTACACTGGAAACAGCCAGCCCGGTCATGGGCCCAGACCACAGCATCAAACCACTGTGTTTCTTTTTCCAGTGGATGGAGAACTCTTTGAGGGTAAGGACCATGTCTTCTTTATTTAAACTCCCAGAACCTTGACTAGACCCTTCCCAACAGTTGACTCATTGCAAATATTTACTAAACAAGTGAATGAAATGAAAGGCCAGAGTTCTCATCACTCAGCCATCTTTACAGACCAGATGTCCATTGCCAGAGCAGAAACAAAATGAAAACAGATTTCCATGTCCAAAGCTGCAGACGACAACCCCTCTAGCTCTACCACCATCCCACAGAGAGAGCAGTTGGCTGATGGCTTCACCACAAGGGCCACACCCTGCAACACGGTGACCAGCGTCCAGTAGCTCAGCCTCACCTCGGTAATGAGCACCTCCCCTGAATTAAGGGGATTGTTTCCAACTCCAAACCTTGTTAAGAGAAAGAAATGCATGAGCCAGTTTGACCAACTCTCACAAGCTATGCCAGGCCAAATCTTTAGGGCAGAGAAAATGTTAGAAAGAGAAATCCATGGAGGAAGAGCATGGCGGAACGAGGTTCTGGTTCAAATCCCCAGGTCAGTGGGAGGTTCCTCTTCACCTTGTTCCTCCAGCTGCTCCTCCCAGTCTCCAGGAAAAGCTCACATGTCACCCCCACAGGGAAGAGGAGTGGCTTTCTGTGGCCTGAACCTGCACACAGCAGGGGATTTGTGAGGGTTTAACACAGGAATCACTGTAGGACAGCCACAGGGGTCATGCCAGGGAGACCCAAAGGATACCATGCCTCAGTGCTTTGAACTCCGCATGGGACATGCTCACCAAAAAATACGGATCTCAGCACATCCAAAAATATTAAAACACTTTTCTTTTTGTTTTTCCCACCCCGCCCCCCATAAGATGTTGGGCTTGAATGGCTCATGATACAATATTTACAGAAGATAAAATGATAATGATGAGGAAATCTACTTTTTTTTTTTGAGACGGAGTCTCACTCTGTCACCCAGGCTGGAGTGCAGGGGCGCGAGTTCTGCTTCCTGGGTTCATGCCTTTCTCCTGCCTCAGCCCCCCAAGTAACTGGGACTACAAGCACCTGCCACAACACCCGGCTAATTTTTTGTATTTTTAGTAGAGATGGGGTTTCACCGTGTTAGCCAGGATGGTCTCGATCTCCTGACCTCATGATCTGCCTGCCTCGGCCTCCCAAAGTGCTGGGATTACAGGCGTGAGCCACCGCACCCAGCTGAGGAAATGTACTTTCTAAAAGCTTTCCACTGGATATACTTGGCCACCAATCAACAGAAAGTCAAAGAATGGGGAACAAGGAGCATAAATATTATGAACAAGATTGTTTGTTTACTTATCTTGGGGTTATGATACTGCATCACTAATGTGATGATCTTAACAGGATCTTCAAACGTTCCGTCCTCAAAATCTCCACTCCATGAGGCTGTGCTGTAAGCCAGAGGCCATCATCCTCCCTCTTGTCCCATCTGGTCAAGCATCAACAGCTCAGCCTCCCACCGTTGTGCACCCTCACCTCCAGGGTCATCCAGATGGTCAGTAGACATGTTGCATGACCTCCTGTTCTGTGTGGGTCACTCAGGGATGCCTCCTATCTTCTTTATGGCAGCGCTGTCTTTTTCAGCTCTGCTTCTGGCCACCCAAAGCCCTCCACTCAGACTGGGCAAGCTGCCCAGGGGCACAGAGGCACACACCCACCGTCATGCCCCAGAATCCCGAATGGGTGTCCGCACCAGCTCCACTCTGAACAGACAAACACTCCTTACTCTCCTATTAAAGGGCTTGGAATATTATTTCGTACACAAGCAATAAAACATGGCTTCAATAGATTACTCAAGTTTTCAGATGCCAAGACACAGAAAAAAGGTGGAGGTTTTTAAAATTATTTAAAACATCTTTTGCTGGGCTTATTTTCTTTGCTGTTTATTTGTGTTTATCAATGATATGAAAAGAAGTCCCAGGAGAGGGGAGGAAATTCTCGTTTACATATCGACTAAACCTGCTGGAGCCTCCTATTCAACCAGCAGTGACCCTGCACCAGGGCTGAAGAGTCTGTGTGAGAGAGCGAATGTCCAAATGAGCAGGGCGGCCTCTGGGGTGGGGATGGCTCCCCCTCGATGGAAGTCCGCCTTCAGAAACAGAGCCTGATAACAATCACTTAAAATGGCCCATTAGCATTTATTAACATATTCTGTAAATGGATCCTTAGGCACATGGGGGTTGGAAGCAGCTTCATCACCTGGAAATGAGCACACGTATCATTGACGCTAGGACCACTGACAGCCAAATACGAAGCCTTTCCGGAAAACCAAACACGGTGCCTTAGAGAGACACTGCTGCCAAAACATTTGGGCTTAGAAACAGCAACAGCACATCACGGCAAGGGTAGCTGAGGCTCCATCACATACCCAGGACCAAGAGGCGTTCTTTGGGAATGCAGCAATTATTCTCGTGAATGTGCAACATGTCACAGTGTCTGAAGCTGGACAGATTTGTGTCTGTCACTGCTTTCAACTGAGGCTCACTTGGCACAGGTCTGCTGACACACCCATCTCGGAGGCAATCTAAACATAAAAACAACATGATTTAGATGTGTTCATGCATTTATTACATAGAAACAGAAGATCCCCACATCTAGCCGGGATGGCAACCATAAAAGCACTGGAGTTGACTCAAGCCATGGCTCAAACCGCAAAACACTTAGGAGCCAGGTGTCCACAGCATCAGTGGGCGCTTTAAACCCCAGCAAGTTCAGCACTTTCCCCCTTTCTAACATGACTCAGGCCTTCCCAAGGAGGATGGAGAGGGAGAAACTGAGAAACAAGAGTGTGTCCTAAATAGTCAGAGATAAAGGTGAGATTATAGCATTCCAGAAGCCACACCTTCTTCTCTTCTGTATAATCCCAAGTCTTCTAGCATGTGAGGGTTACAGGCATCCCAGCAGCACGGCACACGTGGAGGCCTCGGCTCCTGTGGCTCTCCGGAGCTGTCCATGGTTTGGGTTCAGGTGGCTTCATGTCCATCGGCGTCCGTCACGAGTTCCAGCTTGGTCTACCACCATGTGGCAGAATTCAGGCTCACAGCCCACGTGGGAAGCTGGGTTCTGAGGTCAGGCTCACAGCCCACGTGGGAAGCTGGGTTCTGAGGTCAGGCTCGCAGCCCACGTGGGAAGCTGGGTTCTGAGGTCAGGCTCGCAGCTCACGTGGGAAGCTGGGTTCTGAGGTCAGGCTCACAGCCCACGTGGGAAGCTGGGTTCTGAATTCAGGCTCACAGCCCACGTGGGAAGCTGGGTTCTGAGTTCAGGCTCACAGCTCACATGGGGAGCTGTGTTCTGTGTTGTTGAATTGCCTTGTGATTCATGAGGCATCATGGGCTCCAGTAAAGCTGGAGCGGGAACAAAGGGAGGCTTTTTGGACAGTTATTTTGTGACTGAAGAGTGGAAACTCAAAAAGAGAGAATTTGAGCTAAATTCTCCTCCTCTGTGACCCCAAGAAAGAACTCCTCCAATCCCCCACTCCTCAAGCCTGGGCTGCCACCCACACCAGTGCTCACCCCAGCAGGCTGGGCTTGTCTCATCTCTGCAGGCTCTCCAGGACGTGCCCTCGGGAGCCAGACATCCTCAAAAGGCTTTCCCAACACCTCAGAGATGGCCGTGTTGGCAGACCCTCGCCAAGTGAGCCTCGGGTGAAAGCAGTGACAGACACAAATATATATGTCCAGCTTCAGACAGTGTAACACGTTGCAAATTCATGAGAGTAATCATTGGGTTCCCAAGGAATGCCTCTTGGTCCTGGGTATGTGATGGAGCCTCGGCTACCCTTGCCATGGTGTGCTGTTGCTGTTTCTACACCCAAACGAATCTTGCTGATAAGTCTCTGGTGCGATCATCTGTAATTCAGGCTACTAGAAATATTAGAGAAAACCCGGGTCATTGGAACGGTTCATCCATGTGATGACTGCCCCTTGTGAGACCACGGGGGTGGCCTCCTGGCCCACCGTAGGAGAGTCTACTTCCTAAGTGATGTGAAGCAATGATACACGTGATGTAGGTGACACCGGTTCACACAGCAGAGCCCACCGTGCATCTTTGTGCTCCCTCAGAGGCAGCAGCTGAGGCCTGAGACACACAGCGGGAGAAGGAGGGAGCCTGGGTCGTGTGCAGCCCTAAGTCCAGGGGACGGGGCCGAGGACCAAGGTCCTGCCTCCAGCCACCGCCTGAGCTCTCAGGGCGTGCACAGAGAGGCAGGTTGTGCTGTTCCAATATCTGCCTCTGCCCCTCAGGACCCTCACAGCCTCAAAAACCCAATCAAGGGATTCTTTTCTTATTTTTCGCTTCTTTGTTTTCAGTTAGCTTCCTCTGACCACCACAACTCCTGGCATGTTCTGACAAGCACATAAGAGACAAGGGTCGCACTCACACCCACGGACACACACTCGCACACAACACTAAAAGTGTCTTTGTGTATCTTTCTCTCCTGTGATCACGGCATCTGCTGTCAGTGTCTGCCCTCATAAAGTTTTTAGATCAATATTAGAGTCCAATAAGCATTCATGTCACCAATTAATCAACAAGTATCTGTAGACAGTCCGCATACCCTTTGCATTCTACTGGGCACTGTGAGAAACAGCAAAGAATTGTGCTAAATGTTTCCTGGGCCCGGAGAATTGTCTGCTTGGTGAGAACACCCAGCTAACATCTGTAAACAAGTAAATGCCCACAGATCGCTGGCCTCTGTAGCTCCAGCCCCAGAGCTGCCGAGAAAGGACCCAGGGCACCAGCGTGTTCGGGGGGTGGCCCTCCTGGAAGAAGCACCTTCAGAGTTAGGCCAGAAGGAATGGGCGTGGGGAGAACTTGAGGAGAAGGACCTGCGTGTCATGAGGGAGATGCTGAGCAGGGAGCAGAGGGAGAAACAAAAACAACAGAGGACATGGCACCCATTTGTCTCAGGGAAAAACAGACGAAATAAAAGCAGCCCAAATGGAGGGATGAGGATGCATTCGGATGGGATCAGTTGGTGTCAAACTCCATTCACTGAGATGTTCTCACCCAGCATTCAGGGAAAGCAAACCTCAGTACGTGCAGAGTGACTGCACCAACAGGATTCCAAAAATACTTCACTCCCGCGGCTCTTCCTGCCAAAACCTCGAGAAAGCTGACCTCCCAGAAATGTTAGTGTTGACCATAATGAGATCAAACTCTGATTGCCCTACAGAGGGGCCCGAAGCCACGAAACATCGGTCTCTCTCTGCATGCGCTGCCCGCTGCACCTCCCTCAGACCTCCCCCAGCCCCACCTCGCCTCTCTGTGCAGGAAGCAGGCCCCGTGCTAATCATGATTGATTTACTGTGCTCTTAGAGGACTGTCTCCATCACCCCTCACACCAGTAAGCTCTAAATGACCTTGCTGAGACCACCGTTCATAGGACAGCCAGCTCCACAGCTCCCCAAGGCAGAAGGGAGCCCGCAATTGTTAATAGGCTCCACAGAAGTGTAAAGATTGCAATGAAAACGTGTAAAACCAACTCCTAATTAACTCACTTCCTCGAAGACCAGGATTTACTCTCGGCAAACCCTCACTAATGAGAATTTCAAGAGCTGAGAGAAACCAGATGTACACAATCTCCCGGACAGTGGAGGAAATCCTAGGGTGTATGGGATTTGGTATATCTTCAACCTATCATTAGTGCTGAAAGCACTCAGAGCGCTAGTCAATAAGTCATATTACCAAAATCTACGGTGTGGCCATTCTAAAGGAAAATCAATCATTTTGTCATAAATAGGCTGGTTGGGAGATTGTATTGAGTTTCTTCTCTAATGTTAAGCACGGTGTTCTATGTGGCACTCTTTTAATTAAAAACAGACAGGCTCTCAAAGCAACATCCATGTTTGCCGGCACCTGATTACATAGTAACATGCACAAATATTCGTGTTTGTTTTAGCATCGTGCTAATTTATGTTTTATGTTGTACTGATTGTCTGAATCCTACTAGTTAAACAAAAAGTACCATTACATCCTGAAGGATATTAAATTATGAGGTTGGCTACTATTATCTTCTGTGTCATAATTTAGATAAGGTATATAATTCATTCCACATCTCATATTTATAGCATGCAGTGTGTGTGTCATGCTCTGTGTTCAAACACACCTGCAAGTAAATTTAAAATACATTTTGACCGCTACCAATTTACCGTGACTGTATCCATTTTTAATAACATTCCCATAGCAGTTATAACAAATGTGATCTTCTGTTTACCCTGTGGCTGATATCAGCCGTGGGGGGAGATATGAAAAGCCAGATACCGATAGCCAATATCAATATTGTGTTTCAAAAGGATAGATAGATAGATATTCATCATTACCTATGTATTTTTAAAGAAAGTTAAACTTGGAGGAGCCTGGGATGAAAAATCAGGACGTGCTGTTTTCCGAGGGTTGTGACGAAAAGTCCAAGCACGTTTTGTCTCACGTCTTCCCCCATGAAGAAGCCACAAAGCTCAATGGCTGTCCTGGTCCTTGTGGTTTTATGGTGATCTCCTGTGTTTGGTGCTTAGCTTATGCCAATAAATTATTCACTGAGACCGAGTCTTCATCGACCACCCTTTGTGCTGGTTACAGATTAGGTGTCTTTTGAAGCTGCCACCAGCCTCTTCCGCAGCCAGGACATGTGGTGGATGCTATGACTTACAGGAGGATTTCCAAAGTGGATACTGTGACTTACAGGAGGATTTCTGCAGTGCATCCTCTTCCAAACAAGCGCCGATTCAGGTTCTTTGAGCATCTGGTTCAACCACTTCTGAAAGCCAAACAGGCAAATCGGATTTAGCTCTGATGAAGCCATGTGTCTGTCCCATGGCCATTTTTTAAAATGGAGCACAGAAATAGATGAGCCATCCGGGTGCCCCGCGTTCCCCACACGAATGCCGCCCGTGGTGTCAGGGCCCGGGAACTTGTTAGGAGGCGTTTTGTCCACACACGCCCAGGTACCGGCTGGATCCCAGGCTCAGGCACGCCACTGCCAGACCCGGGAATCCATCACACGTATTGCCTCCACCTAATAAAATGAGGAGACGTACCAATTAAAAGAACATTTAATTGTTTAATGAGGTTCTCCAAGATAGGCAGAAAGATAAGCAAAGGCAAGAAATGTCCAGATAAACTAAATGCTACATTTTAAGAACTGCACGGAGACGGGGTTTGCTGCTGTTTTTCAATGAACAGCTCGCACTCAGAGACAATACTCCAGTATCTAACAATTTAATTCATTTACAGCTATGTGTAAATTCCACCAAATGAGCTGTGTGGAAGCTAGTTGTTGTTGTTGTTGTTTTTCTATGTCCTTTGTTTGATCTTAATAGGCAGCCTATCTCGTGCATTACTAAGGAGCTTGGACTCCAGTCAGGATCTCGAGGGAAGGCAAGGAGCTGTGTTCGTTCCCCCGTAGAGAAATGTCCAGCCATCCTCCCTCTGCATCCTAAGGACATGGCCCCATCCGTCGGAAAGGTGTGTGGGGGCACGCACACACCACAAACACACACAGACACACACAGACACACACACTAACACCATACACACCACACACACACCACACACACAAATACACACACCACACACAGCACACACACCACAAACACACACAGACACAGACACACACCACACACACTAACACCATACACACCACATACACCACACACACACCACACACACCCACATCCCACACACACACCACACACACATCATACAAACACACTCACACACGACACACACACCACACACACCATACCAAACACACACCCCACACACACTACACACACACATCACACACACATCACACACACACCCCCACACCCCACACACACCCGCACACCCACACACACCATACAAACACACACACACCCCACCCCACACACGCACCACACACACCACACAAGCACACCGCACACACCATACAAACACACACACCCCCACACACACCACACACACCATACAAACACACACACCCCACACCATACACACACCCCACACACACACCCACACACCACACACATCACACACTCACACCACACACACCACACACGCACACCACACACACACCATACAAACACACACACCCCACGCACACCCCACACACCATACAAACACACACACACCCACACCCCACACACACCACACACACCATAAAAACACACACACACAAATCACACATGAATCACACACACCACACACACCAGTCACACACCACACACCACACATACCATACACACCACACACACAGACACACCACACACATCACACCACACACACACACCACATACCACACACACACTACAAACACACACCACACACCACGCACACCCGACACACACACACTCTTTCCTCTCTTCTCTGTAGGTTAGACACCTGTTCAAAGCTGAAACAAACGCAGTTCAGCAACTTGAAATGTGAAGTGTGGACTTAAAGGCTTAGTCCTTTTTCCTCATATTTGAGGGGCCCTCACCTGCCAATGCTCCCCAGAATTTCATTTAATGAGGTGCCCCCAGGTCTGCCACATCCCTTCTTCTTTTGAGAAGGTCCTGAGGTCGCTCTGTCCCTCTAAGAACAGGAGTCAGGGAAACTCCCGGGACACACCGCTCCTGCATGAAGGCGTGCAGTGGGATCCACGTGTGGGTGCAGCTTTGAGAAACGTGACAGACAGGAGTGTCCATGTGGAAATTATGAGATCATCGTGAACACACGGGAAAGAACGGACGTAAAGTTCACAGCTTTAATAATTAAATCATTTCCCTCCACCAATGCCGGTGCTGCATCTATACCGAAAAGAGGCTGAGCCTGTCTGGCTGGAAAATCAGTGCCCAGCTGCGGTTTGGAAGCTGAGCCCACAGCCCAGCCGCTTACATGCCACGATTACGTTTAGACTCACTTCCTCGGGACCTGGAAACTTAAAGCCGACCTCCAGACAACCTAGCATAACAACAAATGGAAAAATCAAAGTGCATTTGGCAGAGTGCGCTTGAAGTATTTTCTATGCACACGTTTATTCGTTGAGTTGTTTAAGCACTGGGGCTTCAGAGTGATTTTTAATGAAGAATCTGCGTGTTCGTGTCAGGAGGCCAAGGGGTGTCTCCAGAACGGGTGCTGTTCCCGGTGTGTTTGCGGTCTGCGGCTCATCTCATTCTCTTTAGAGACCCCTCCTTGTTCACTCAGGGAGGGGTTAGTTTATTTAAGCAGCACTCGCATGCCCTGGCTCCATAAGGGAGGATTTGCAGGTATTAATCCGAGCTGGGGGGTGACTCCTGCCCAGTTGAGCAAATGAGGTGAGTGGGGTGCGGGCTGGCAGGGCTTCCACGAGGCCTCCTCCCTCGCAGGGGCTGACCCGAGTCCCACTGTTGGAGCGTGGATTTCTGACAGCGAGGAAAAGTTAACCCAGCTCCCTACCCCGTCTGAATAAAGTTATTACGGCAGATCAAAGTAATTAACAGTAGCTTAGCGCCATTGATTCTGTGGACCCGCCTTGAGGTTAGGAGGCCTTTCCTGAGCAACTCACAGCAGTGCTCTGCCCGGCTCGGGAATTCTCTCCCTTGCACGTTTAGACAACGCACACGTGTGTGACAAGAAAACGCTCGCGTGCTCTGATGCGCTGTTTAAGTGGACACTCGTACCTTTTCTCTTTTTCATATTTTGCTCCTGTCCGTATTCCCACTTTACAACTTTTCTCCAGATACAGATTCAGCGATCCATACACCACACTGCTTAGCTCTTGACTGAATTCCATCTGGATCCAAGTCATCTTGTATACATTATCCATTACACTAAATTTACCCCTTTATATGGAGCCCATTTGTTTTCTAAGTGGAATGCTCTCCCAGCTGCAGTGAGTTTCTGAAGCAAAGGGCCCCATCTGATATCATCATTTTATGTTTCAGGGGCATTCAGATATGAAAGCAGTTTGCCGCATATTAACCTCAATCAGCGTTTTCAGACACATGTACTTCCTAGACTGGCTTAGTGTCTCAGAGATGACTATGATATGAATAGCAAAGGAATTACCACAAAGCTTTTCTGTTGCAATAATATATACATATTTATAATTTCATTAAACCATAGATTTAGGAAAGCCTTTAAAAACTCATTCAACTCACTTCTCCACTTGTAAGCTGATGTTTGAAAACACAGAGTAATAGCTTCCATTTATTGAGTAAGTGGTAGGAAGGAAACGTGGGATTCAGCACTTTAGGCATGGTTTCTTATACTTAGAATGGCCCTACCAGGTGGCTATGAAGACCCCACTTTACAGACGAGAAAACTGAGGCCACGGAGAAAGTGCTGGGCCCACAGCCACAGGCCAGTAGGGCAGACCCAGCATTTAGACTCCGCCTTCAGGCCAGTGTCCACACATTTAAAGCAAAATGTCTTAGCCTGTGACCTTCCTGTCACGCGCACATATGAGTAGACACATACGACTCCCACTGTGGAAGGACTGCCCCCAATGCCAAGTGCATATTGATGTGTGTGTATGCACAGTCACATACATAGGCACGTACATGACATTGTATAAAATCATATAAGGAAATGGGTAAAAACAGAGCTGTAGACACTCAGGATTTCTCTATTTAATCAGTTTTTACTGAGTTCAGTTAAATATGATGAAGATACAAGTTTTTATGACTTTTTCAGAGATGCATGTATCTGTATAGTGCATAGCTGCCTTCTAATACCTTCTAATACCATGTGTAGTAGGCAGCAATAAACCTTGCACCAGACTTTCTATAAGAAAAAGTCTAATCTAACACACTACTTTTCTTTTTTTTTATTATTATACTTTAAGTTTTAGGGTACATGTGCACAATGTGCAGTCCAACAATGATAGACTAGATTAAGAAAATGTGGCACATATACACCATGGAATACTAAGCAGCCTTAAAAAACGATGAGTTCATGTCCTTTGTAGGGACATGGATGAAGCTGGAAACCATCATTCTCAGCAAACTATCTCAAGGACAAAAAACCAAACACTGCATGTTCTCACTCATAGGTGGGAATTGAACAATGAGAACACTTGGACACAGGAAGGGGAACATCACACCCCAGGGCCTGTTGTGGGGTGGGGGGAGGGGGGAGGGATAGCATTAGGAGACATGCCTAATGTTAAATGACGAGTTAATGGGTGCAGCACACCAACATGGCACATGTATACTTTTCTTAAAGATAATAAGAAGTTGTAATATTTTCAAGTTTGAAATTCTTCTATTCTCGAAATTGAAAACAGCCCAGCCACATATCTATTCATCCCCATCCCATAATCCCCCTCCCTGTGTGTACCTGCCCCCACCCCAGGGGGAAGTCACCCTTCTACCACTCCTTCCCTAACCACCGCCCTGTTCTTTAAGCCGCTATGCAATGCAGAGACTTATTTTATACACTCTTTAAATCACGAATTAGAAAACCTATCAAGGCAATATACATGTGCCATATAAAAATGTGTCTTCCATAAAAACTCGTTCAGTAATCACCAAGACACATTGGCCATGTTGATTGTGATGACGTCTGCTTGGGCTTTTCATAACTCAAATGCCTTTCACGAAACCCGAACAAGGTCATGACACGAAGCCTGTCCTCTCCATGACCACTTGCCTGAGGCCTTGCAGCCAGGCTCAGCATAGCCCGGCGAACAGGCGTGTGCACCGCAGCCCCACGGAAGCACAGCTGGGTGTTTCTGACTCTGATCTTCCCACCCACTGACCCTTCCCAGGACACATCAGATGCTGCTGTGGGGGGAGCAACGAGCAGCCTGCCAGGAGGATGTGTGCTTAGGGCTCAACAGGCTAGCATGTTCGGATTTCTTCCTCCTGACTCTCAGGCCAAGTAAACAGTCATCCCGACTGCAGTTTGCACAACAGATCTTTGCTCCCAAAGTAGTACCCCAAAGTGTTCTTATTCCCATTTTACACATGAGGAAACTGAGGCTCTGCGTGTTCAGACTTGCTTAAAATTATCCAGCTCCTACAGAGGTAGAATTGGCATCAAAGCCCAGGCACCCCCCGCTGCAAAGCTCACGCCCAGCAGCTCCCGTGGCCAAACCAACCACTTCAGAAGCTAGAAGCATAACCTTTCTGTCCCTCCCAGAAGACCCCACTTCCTGACTGTAAAGGAATGAGGACATTTATCATATGGAGAGGCCCCCGGCAGGGAGCCGAGGCCACCAAGAGCTCCATGTCCCTAAATCTCTGGCTGTGCTCCAACTTTGGACAACGACAGGGGGGCGACAGCATCCTGGGGACAAAGGACTTCTGGAAACCCAGGGGGTCGCTCCTCTCCCCAAGTGTCAAGGCTCATTTCTACTCCATCATCTCTTGTCCTAACTTTTATGGAAGCCTGATAAACCACTTCTAAGCATGTATGTAATGTTTGCTTTCATGGGACAGTCTCAGTGAAATTCTATCTCGGTCACAAATCTCTGAGCTTTGTAAATGTCAAACAGAATCAGTTTTCTAATACTTGGTAATGGAGGCATCAAAGTTCCCCTTCTCTCTCTCTGACAGGAGCCGAGCATCTGAGGTTTCCTGCTCCTGAGAGAAAGCCCCGGCTGCCCAGGCTCAGGTGAGTTTTAGGGTCTCGGGAACCGTCCATCCCCCAGCTTCACTCACAACAGCAAGCTGGCCGGGACACCCCAACAATGCCCCCTGGCCCTCAGGGACCCTCCGTGGCCTGCTGAGCCATTAGCTACAGAGTCTTCATGGATTCACCAGTGCTGTGGCTTCGTGACACTCAGGAAACAAAACTCAGGCAAGATGATGAATTTCAGAGAGAAATTTGAGAATTTAAGGTGAAATAGTGGCACACCCTGAGGCCCTCAAACTGTGTAGGGACGGATCGCTGGGCACCAGGCCCAAGGGGCACTCCGTCCCCTGGAAGTCACCAGAAGTCCTGGGCGCCGCGGCCACTGAACTGCCTTGCGGCTTCCTGCTGGATATTTTAAGTGCATGAAAGAGGTCGGCAGACACCTTGTTTGGATTCATAAATGGGCTCCCACCTCATATTCCAGGCCTGAATTTAATTTGTTTAATATTCCCAACACTAACGATGCCTGTTTAAGACATCCTGTTAAAAGTTTGTAACATTAATTTAATGGAAAAATGCCAGTATCACTCTAAGAACTCTATTAGATTTTCTCCCTGTTAAATTAATGTTACTAACTTTTAATGGATGTTGTAATTAGATGTTATTATTCACGGGAATATTACCCAAATTAAAATCAGAACCTGAGAGAGACACAGCATAGATGTACAAGTGCATAAAGCCGTGGCATCTGGATGCTGCGCCGGCTGGCGGCGGGCCGGACGCCCGGCCTGTGCTCCCCAGAACCGGCCTCAAAGTCAGGCACTGGGGTGCTGGGCAGGGCGTGTGCAGGCACAGGCTGCAGCTCCCATTTAGGAAGGAAGTGATGGCTCCCCACACACCCTGCAGGAGGACAAGGAGCCATCTTCCAATTTCACAATCAATTTAAAGGGTCACTCTCCATCCGGCCTGATTGGGTTCGGCAGTTTGAAATTGACTGTTTGGGTTGTAAAGCTCTCCTGCCTTCCTAGCCAATTTTAAAAAGAGGTGGCTAAGCTACCAGCTTATTATGAGCTAGAGAGCAGAAACACAGGGAATGTCATGAATTTAGAGCTGCTGGGTCTGACCCTGGCCAGAGATGGGAAAACAACAAAGCCCTATTGCTTGTCTGGGGTCTCATGGATGTGCCGCCGTGCCGGGTCCTAGAGGAAAAGCTGACTCCACACCTGCTGCTGGCAAGAGGCTGGGGTGGGGACCCCAGGCTGGGCTCAGGCTTGGCAAGAGACCCACCCTCTGCACCCAGTTTTCCTCACGATGAGGTCTCAGAACCACACAGCAAACCCAGTCCATGTTTCACAGGCAATTCCCCACACTCAAGCGTTCTGTTTGGGAGAGGGACATGCAGGAGCTCATGGTTATGGGGACACTGGCTCCCCACCAAGCAGGTACATGATGTCCTCGTGAAACACAAAGTCAACACAAAGCTGGGGGACCCCAAACAGAGACCACTGATAAACCATCCACAAATACCCTAATGGCATTCGACTGTGGTTTTAAACTCAGGTCTGAAAGCGTGTGCTTTGGATTTCTGCTACCTCTGTTCCTTTCCTTCCAGGGTCTGGTGGCAGTGTCAGTCGCCGAGGGACAGAAGAGTGAGTCGGGACAATCAAAAGGAATTTACAACCCACAGATTAGGTGATAAGCCCAGAATCATTGCAGTGATGACCCCCCCACTGCGGCCTCCCTCCACACCCTGCCAGAGAAAGGACCCCTACACCACACCACACCCAGCTGGAGTCAGCTGCACTCCGGAGGCCACATGTTGTCTTGCCATGCTGCATGTGCACACCCGTCTGCCCACAGGCACAAGCCAGCCGCAGCTTCTTTCACGTTCCCAAGCCTCGCCTAAGCCCTGGCACAGAGTGGGCACGTGACCATTTTGGTGAAGGGACACGTTCATGAAGAATGGATGAGAGAAGTGTATTGTGACCACTGGACAAGAGAGAGCAAAGAAAGGACTTCTTGTAGCTTGGTCCCTTCTGAGAGAACTGTTATAAAGGATTATTGAAGGTAATACTTTAAAAGGCAATCACACGTCTCCTAAATTGGAATTCCAACCAGCCATCTGAGAACTTGAGCATGGTGTCAGGAAGAGCAACGGCGACATGAGAGCTGAGAGTGGGAGAACAGTGGACTCACGGGTTGAATGGATTGTCTGGAGTGTTTGCACACTTCTTTCAACACCCAGTGCTCCAGCCCGGTGAGCTCCTGATGCGGCCTTTGTGGGTGCTCCAGGTGTCCCTCACCCCAGTCCCAACTATGCTAGGTGTAGGTGGGATACACTCCCTCACTGGGTATGGGTGGGATACACTCCCTCACTGGGTATGGGTGGGATACACTCCCTCACTGGGTATGGGTGGGATACACTCCCTCACTGGGTGTGGGTGGGACACACTCCCTCACTGGGTGTGGGTGGGACACAATCCTTCACTGGGTGTGGGTGGGATATACTCCCTCACTGGATGTGGGTGGGATGTACTCCCTCACTGGGTGTGGGTGGGATACACTCCCTCACTGGGTATGGGTGGGATACACTCCCTCACTGGGTATGGGTGGGATACACTCCCTCACTGGGTATGGGTGGGATACACTCCCTCACTGGGTATGGGTGGGATACACTCCCTCACTGGGTATGGGTGGGATACACTCCCTCACTGGGTATGGGTGGGATACACTCCCTCACTGGGTGTGGGTGGGATACACTCCCTCACTGGGTGTGGGTGGGACACACTCCCTCACTGGGTGTGGGTGGGACACAATCCTTCACTGGGTGTGGGTGGGATATACTCCCTCACTGGATGTGGGTGGGAGGTACTCCCTCACTGGGTGTGGGTGGGACATAGGTGTGGGTGGGATGTAGTTGCCAGTGGGATGTAATCCCTCCTGACTCCCTCCCGAACACATTAGGTTTGCAGGTTATGATAAATGCCACCTCATTATAGTAAAGAAATGCAGAGGCCAGCCCTCTCCTAATGGTTGGAAACTGGGCTTGGTCATGATACTGGTACAATAACAAACACAAAAACCGCTGGAACAGAATAGGAAACCCAGAAATAAACCCACACACCTGCAACCATCTGATCTGCAACAAAACCAACAAAAAAGAGCAATGGGGAAAGACTCCCTCTTCAATAAATGGTGCTGGGATAGCTGACTAGCCATGTGCAGAAGAATGAAAATGGAGCCCTGTCGCTCACTGTATATGAAAATTAACTCAAGATGATGAAATATTTAAATGTAAGACCTCAAACTATGAAAATCCTATAAGAACACCTAGGAAATACTCTTCTCAACATTAGCTTTGGCAAAGAATTGTTGGCTATGTCCCCAAAAGCAATTGCAACAGAAAGAAAAATTGTCAAGTGGGACCTAATTAAACTAAAGAGCTTCTGCACAGCAAAAGAAATTATCAACAGAGTAAACAGACAGCCTACAGAATGGGGGAAAGTATTTGCAAACTATAAATCTGACAAAGGTCTAATATCCAGGATCTACAAAGAACTTAAACAAATCAAGAAGCAAAATACCAAACAATCCAATTTAAAAATAGGCAAGGGACATGAACAGACACTTCTCCAAAGAGGACACACAAGCAGCCAACAAACATATGAAAAAATTATCTACATTGCTAATCATCAGAGAAATGCAAAACAAAACCACAATGCGATATCATCTCATGCCAGTCCAAATGGTTATTATTAAAAAGTCAAAAAATTACAGAGGCTGTAGAGAAAAGGGACAATTACACAGTGTTTGTGAGAATGAAAACTAGTTCAGCCACTGTGGAAAGCAGTTTGAAGATTCCTCAAAGAACTTAAAATAGAATTACCAATTCACCCAGCATTCCCACTACTGGGTATATACTAAAGGAAAATAATTCATTCTATCATAAAGACACTTGCACTTATATGTTCATGGCAGCAGTATTCACAGCAGCAAGGACATGGAATCAACATATATACCCATCAACAGTGAACTGGATAAAGAAAACATGGTACCTATACACCATGGAATACTACACAGTCATAAAAAAGAACTAAATATACCCTTTGCAGCAACATGAAGGAATTGGAGGCCTTTATCCTAAGCAATCTAACACAAGAACAGAAAACCAAATACCACATGTTCTCACTGACCAGTGGGAACTAAACATCAGATACACACAACTGTGAAGGTGGGAACACCAGCGGGGGTCACTAGAGGGGAAGGGAGGGTGGGAGGCATGGGCTGAAAAACCAACTGTTGGGTACTACACTTACGGCCTGGGTGACAGGATCATTGGGACTCCAAGCCTCAGTATCATGCAATTTACCCCTGTAACAAATCTACACATGCACCCTTTAATCTATAGAAAAAGTTGAAATTTATTAAAAAACAGAAAGAAACAGGACTTGATATTGATGTCAAAGAGTTATAGTTTTAAGTTTATTAAGGAGCCTTGCCAAGTCTTAGTTTCTTGGCCTGTAAAATGGGATTGTTAATAACTAACCCACTAGGTATTATGGGAACAAATGAAGCTAATGTAAGATTTTAATAAATACTGGTTATTATTCGTGTTCATCAGTTACTTTGTATGTACATTTATGATTAAAGACTTAGCTATAGAGAGAAAAGCCCCAGAGCCTCAACAAGAAGTCTGAATACTTTTCAGCTACCAAAAAATACTTGGTTTCCAAACAAGTATTAATGTATTCATAAGTAGTTTTCTCTGTGTTCTGCTTACTATGTTTGAATAATGTCTTAACTGGGGTAGGAGAAGGCTACAGCAGCTATATTGTCATCTAAGTACTAAAAGCATCAGTGCTGAATAGTGTTAGGAAGGCAAGGATGGCTCAATGTGCAAACATCAATTGATGATGCAGGACCATATTAATAAAGATAAAAACAAAAACACACACACTCGTCTCAATAGACACTCATCCCAAAAGAAGCACTTGATAACATCAAACACTGTTTAATGATAAAAGCACTCAACAAACTGGAAATGGGACACAATTTTCTCAACTTGACAAAGAACATCTACAAAAACTCACAGCCTTATATCTAACGGTAAGACTAAAAGTTTTCCCCCTACATCAGAAACAAGACCAGGATGTCTGCTCTCACCACCTTCAATCAACATTGTACTAGAAGTTCTGGCCAGGGTGATTAGGTAAGAAAAAGAAATAAAAGACAGCCAGACGGGAAAACAAGTAAAGCTATTTCTATTCACATAAGGAAAATCCTGAAGATCCATACCCACACAAAAAGAACAAAAAACAATTAGAGCTAATAAGTTCAGCCAAATTTCAGGAAGGAGATAATAAATGCTCGGGTCTGGAAGTGGAGCAGAACTGCCAGTGGATACCAGGTTCATTAGGCAGCGGGTGATGAAATGTTCTGGCATTAGATAGTAGTGAAGACTGCACAATTTTGCAAATTTACTTAGTGTCACTGAATTGTACACCCTAAAAGTGTACATTTTACAGTATGTGAATTATATCTTAATTGGAAAAGAATACGCTAACATTCAGCTTCTGTTGGAATTTGTCCATTTCTAGGTGCCAAGCACTCAAGAGAGAAAGCAAAATAAAAATTGAGGAAAGAAAGCATGGTCCATTCACTTGGGAAAAGTGCTGCCTTTTCCCACACACACACACACACAAAATCCAGTTTAAGCCGATCCTACAACCTCACCCTACGTTAATGGAACCAAAAACAACTTTAGTGACATCTATTGTTTGATGTTTATAAACCAATCTCTCTTAAACATAATAAAGTGTATAAAAGAGCATTCTCTTTTCTCCTTTCTAAGACAGATGATTTTACAGAATAATAATAACATGTTTCACTTCAAACATTCTGATCAGTCTGTGCAGGAATTTCCACCCGGGAAAAGCAGGCTTCATTTTTAACCATCATATCTTGATTTTCTGGTCTTATTTTTTATTGTGTTGTCTACTTCCATACAGATGCATTGGTTCACCCATCACTCGGTCATATTTACTAAGTACACATGCTGACCAATCCCCAGCACTTGCATTAAATATCTCTTGAATAAATGAGTGAACACGTGAATGAATACTCAAAACATGGAGGCCCCCAGGAGTATTTTAGGAGATTAAAAGAAAGAGCTTAAGTTGGAGCCTTCTAGTTCCTGTGTCCACCATACCAGAGGCCGACTGAGCCCACGGGCCCGTGGCTGCCCAGTGATTCCTGCACAGTGGGTAAAGCTTCCCTCTGGTGGACACTAAGATGATACATACCTGGGCCCCTGCACCGAGCTGGCCCCAGGGACCAAGTGTGGGCTGTAGGAACTCAGGGAGGGAATGGGGGAGGCTTGGGGGGGTGTGCCCACAATCATGGAGCTTCCTCACTTCCTCTGGTCCTGTTCAAGCATAATCCAGATGTCCCGCCCCATCTCGAGATGGACAGTGGGGGCCTGTCCTGGTGGGCTCATGATGGGCAGGGTGAGGACAGGGTCCCTTAGTGCCCCGGGCTCACCTACATGCCAGGGCTGACTTTGGAAGACAGATAATTCTCTGCTGCAGGTGCACAGCCTTCTTCCAGTGCCTGGGTACCTGCCTTTCCTCACCCAGGCTTGCCACAAACTCCATACCAGAGTCCCCCATGCTGCAGGTGCATGGCCTTGTTCCAATGCCTGGGTACCTGCATTTCCTCACCCAGGCTTGCCACAAACTCCATACCAGAGTCCTCCCCGATACTGCAGCACCATAAGTGGGAATGTCGACCCGCAGCCTGACCTGCTGCCAAGCCCTTCCTGCCAGGCCCACACAGTCTGCAGCTGCATTGTCAGTGAGGTTTGTAAGATGCAGCCATTCATTTCTCACCCAGAGAGAAGACTCCAGCCTACCCTGGTACAGGACTCCTAAAAAGCTTCAGCGAAGTGACAGGACTCTGAACCTTTGCAGGATTTATCTCCCACCCCCTGGGCATTTGTTTCTCACCAAGATCCCACTGTGGTGGCCTCCTCTCGTCCATCCTGTCCCATCTGGACGAAGCCATCCAGGTGATGGACCGCCATGCTGTTCCTCATCAGAGAAAGGTCCCTGGGTGACTGCACAGCCATGCCCAGGCCAGGTGCCCATCAGAGAGGTCTCTGTGTGACCCGACAGCCATGCCCAGGCCAGGTGCCCATCAGAAGGGAGGTTCCTGTGTGACTAGACAGCCATGCCCAGGCCAGGTGCCCATCAGAGAGGTCTCTATGTGACCCAATAGGCACACCCAGACCAGGTGCCAGCCTGTTCTTTGTCCCTGTTCTGGACACTGCAAGGCAGATGCCATGTCCCAGCTGGTGCCAAAGCCCTAAAGTCCACTCAGCTTTTCACTTCCCCATCCGTGAAGTGCTCATGTCTGTGCTGAACTCAGGCCACCTTCCATGGGATCGCAGCAGTGTTTCCAAGCTCATCACGTCCTTGTCTGTAACCGACACTTTTCTGTGAATCTGGCCTTCATAGCATGGGGTTGAAGCCCCCGTTGGGCAGGGTTGGTGTCTGGGTACCGTTGGTCACCCCGAGCACACAGTGTAGCCTCTCATTAAGTCATCGCTGTGGGTGAGAGTGTTCCGTCAATAACTGCTGTTAAGTAAATCTTGAAAAGCATTTCTTCATCATCACCAGTAAGACTCCCAGGTACGGACCCTAATAAATGTGATACCAAAGGGAGGAAAGGGGAAGGAGAGGGCTCGCCCTTCCTCTTCCTCCATCACAGCACTGGCTCCGTGGTGGAGGCATGAAAGGAGCTCCTCGGGGGAAAGCAGAGAAGTCCAGCAGGATACTGTGGTTTCCATCTCAGTCATGCGTCTCCATGCGGCATGTGGACAAAAGGAGTAAAACTCTTCATCTCAGCCTCTCAAACGCTCTTCAGGCCATCCCAGGTTGTAAGAGAAGTCCGGAAGAAATACGTAAACAGAGGAAAACCTGGCTTCCTGTCGCTTGGAAACGAGGTGGAAAGTCACTGAGCAGTTCAGTCAACTCCGACTCCAGGAAGGGCAGTCACTGAATAAAGCCAGTGTTTAAGTGGAGAAGGAAAAAGAAGCTACCTACGTTTCCATGTGGCCACTTCTGTCGCACATTCACAAAACACTAAGCTCAGGCTCAGGGAAGGCGGCCCGCAGCGCAGCAAAGCATTCCACTCCCAGGAGCCGTCATTAGAACCCTAATCACTCAGGGGCACTTCCTGTCCCCTCCACCGCAGAGGTGTCCTACACTAATTAACACCTTACCCCTGGGACGGGAGTGCATTTAGGCCAGGATGTGGTCGTCACCTTGTAAACAGCAGCTCTCTCAGCATCATGCTGCCTGTGCCCTGGGGCCATGGAAGTCCAGGCCCTGGGAACCTGCACCTCCCAGTCGCGACCTCCAGCATCTTGGTCCTGTGGCCTCTCATCAGCGGGAGAGAGCCTCGCTCCTCAGGAAAATTTTACAAAGGATTCTAACTCTCACCTGAAGGAATCCTTAGGAAGAAAAGCAGCTGTTTCCAGTCTGCTGGAGCATGGGGAAGCCAAGGATTATGGAGATACAGGGGTTTTTTGTTTTAAACCATCCTGGACTGCAGAGTCTTCCTCTCAGGTGTTAAAGGAAGATGTCTGTCAGACCCAAGTGAACTTCGACAGTGCCTTTAGATTGCACAGCTTCCCACGCCGGGGCACATGTTCAGCACATGTGACAAACGGGGTTCAGGTTCAGGAATGAGCTGCCGCCTGGAAGTCAGCTTGGAGACAGGCCTGACTCGGAGAATCCCTGGGCTGGCTCTGCCAAGAGGGGGTGACCCATCCCCTGGTGACACTGGGACACTCCTCTTTCCCTGTGCCCCAAGGCCACACTGGGTCAGACCCAGTGGGTGGCTTTGCAGGGCCTGCAGCCTGACTGCTCCTTGGCAAACATGGTCCAAGATGCAGAGATGACATTTCTGAGAAGCTACCCAGTAAATCAAGCCTAATAACCCCCCAACCCAAGCAGCAGTCAAGCTGAAAACCAGTGACACTGGGCTTGGGGAGAACATGGAGGACTTGTTAGTTAAAAAGTGAAAACTCAAAGAACACAAGTCCATTCCACCAGGAGGAAAGATGGCTGCAGATTCCACCAAAGGAGGAACTATTAGAGCAACAAGAAATGGCCATCACCACTCAGGTCTTCCATCAGATCTGAGGGACATGGAGGAGGCCTGTTGCTGGGATGACTGTTGGGAAGGGTGAAAATGTCAAAGCCGAGGAGAAAAAAGTGAATTCCAAGCTGGACTGAATATTTGGACATCCAACAGCCTGCCTCTTTTTTTTTACTTTTTGCTAGAATTTCACAAAAGTTTAGTTTCAAACTCTCCAGGCCCCTGATTTACTCTGAACTCAACATTCAGGTTTGGTTTTCAGCCTTACCTACACCTGGAACTGTGGCTGTGGAGGGCCCTGTGCTCTTCCCACCTCCTCTTCCTTCAGTTCCCATCAGACTCACACTGCAGGCTGCACCACGTTCATGGATAGGGCACGCGCCCGAGGACATCCCGCTTGCTCCCGCCATTCTGTTTACCACAGGTGACAACCGCCATGGCTGAGAGGCAGGGAGGTCCCCCGAGGGCCAGTGTATCCCCACCTCATGGCCTCAGAGAATGGGGCATGGAAGTCCCACAGTGGAAGTCTCTCTATGAAAGTCCCTCTATGGAAGTCCCCTATGGAAGTCCTTCTATGGAAGTCCCTCTATGGAAGTCGCCTGTGGAAGTCCCAAAGTGGAAGTCCCTCTATGGAAGTCCCACAGTGGAAGTCCCTCTATGGAAGTCCCCTATGAAAGCCCCTTTATGGAAATCTCTCTATGAAAGTTTTTCTATGGAACTCCCCCTATGGAAGATCCTGTATGGAAGCCTCTCTATGGAAGTTTCTCTATGGAAGTCCCACAGCTGAAGTCCCTTATGGAAGCCCCTCTATGGAAGTCCCTCTATGAAAGTCCCCTATGGAAGTCCCTCTATGGAAGCCCCTCTATGGAAATCTCTCTATGAAAGTCCCTCTATGGAACTCCCTCTATGGAAGATCCTCTATGGAAGTCTCTCTACGGAAGTCCTTCTATGGAAGTCCCACAGTGGAAGTCTTTCTATGAAAGTCTCTCTATGGAAGTCCCTCTATGGAAGTCCCTGTATGAAATTTCCTCTATGGGATTCCTTCTGTGGAAGTACCTCTATGGAATCTATCTATGGAAGTTCCTCTATGGGATTCCCTCTGTGGAAGTCCATCTATGAAAATTCCTCTATGGAAGTCCTCTATGGAAGTCCTCTATGGAAGGTCCTCTATGGAACTCCCTCTATTGAAGTACTCTATGGAAGTCCCTCTATGGAAGTCCCTCTATAGAATATCCTCTATGGAATTCCCTCTATGGAAGTCCCTCTATAGAGGATCCTCTATCGAAGTCTGTTTATGGAAGATCCTCCATGGAAGTCCTTCTATGGACATTCCTCTATGACGATGGTTTATTCCACGTGTCAGCTTGACCAGCACCGGGTGCCCAGGTCAAACATTGTTCTGGGTGTGTCTGTGAGGGTGTTCCTGAAACAGATTAACATCTGAATCAGTGGACCTCATCAAGTTGGCCACCCTCTGTGGAGTGGCTGGCACCTTCCAGTGCTTCGGGGCATGGACAGAACAAAAGGCGGAGGAAGGAGAAACTCCCCTTTCCTGCCTGACTGCTGGGCTGGGACCTGTGTCCTCTCCTGCCCTTGGACTAAGATTCACCCCATTGGCTCTCCTGTTCCTCAGGTCTTCAGACTGAGACTGGAACTTTTGGCTTTCCTGGGTCTCCAGGTTGCAACGGCCCATCCTGGGACTCCTCAGCCTCAACAATTTCCTAAGCCAATTCTTCGTAACTCCTGCGTGTGTGTGTGTGTGTGTGTGTGTGCATGCATGTGCATTTTCTATTGGTTCTGTTTCCCCGCCTGTCGCAGGCACCTGTTGTACCTGGATCAGGATGCAATGGAAGCAGGGTCCATGTGAGCACCAGGTCCTGGGGGTCGTTCTGCAGAGATGACACCCTCTCTGGGAGGTTAACATGCAATGGCCTCAAATGAAATAACTTTCAGGCATCGTCAAACACCACGTACCTGACAATATTAATTATTCTGACTGAAGAAGTGTCCGGGCCCCAGCAGGATGAGCAGGACGTGCTGGAAACGTAGTGCTCTGTTCTCTGCCAAACCACGGATGGAAGCAAACATCTGCAGGAAGCAAATCCGAGGAGGCCACAATGGCTTCATCCGAGTGTGGAACATGTGTTTGGAAACCTATGAAACAGAAGAGCGCAGGGCAGCTTCGTCGGAGAGTTTGAGATCAAGCACTCACTCTTCTTGAATATGTTTTCATTGGTCAATTAGTTCTGTAAGTATTTGGGGAAAGCATTTCCTCAAAGGAGGGGTGTGTGCAGGTCTGTTTGAAATTATCAGAATTCCAAATGCTTGTTCTCACATCTGAAGCCAGGGCTCTGAAGCTGGGGCTGTTTCTACACCTCAAACCACTCCCATGTCTGTACTCCCGGCTCGTTGCCAGCCAGGTGCTTGACCAAGAACACTGATGGGTTCAGAAGGAGGATGTGAGACGAGATTGGCCTGTGACTGAAACTACTAGTGAGTCGTAATAATTAGATAAAAAGCTGGAACCACGTTTGTGAGCACTGTAAACCAAAGTAGAAATACAGGCTGATATTTTTATTTAAATCTTTCCACAGGTATATTTTTGTTAACCCCAAATTAACAGGTCTCAGTTGATGTAGAAAGTTTATTTCACCAAGGTTAAGGATGTACCCATGACACAGCCTCAGGAGATCCTAACGACATGTGCCCAAGGTGGCCGGGCCACAGCTTTGCTTTTATACATTTTCAAGAGACGTGAGACATCAATCAACATACGTAAGATGGACATTGCTTCCATCCAGAAAGAGCAACTCGAACCAAGGAGGGGCTTCCAGGTCATAGGTAGATAACAGACAAATGGTTGCATTATTTTGAGTTTCTGATTCATCGTTCGCTGATTGAACAATTTACAGGAAGAGTCACTCATGCCTTCGTCTGGCTTCAAGAAGCAATACGGCGGAGGGAGCCCAGAAACGCGTTCATCCCATGTGACCAGAGGGACGACTGTGAGCTCTGCCTGTCCTTGGTCCACAGGAATATCCTTCGTGGTTTTGAGATCTCAAGATTTATTTTCCTTTCACATTTTAATCTGTTGTTTCAAACCATGTTCGCGAAGCACTGCAAAATGAGGCGGTGGCCGAAAGCACAGTTTGGAGTCGTGTGTGAAAGCTCATTAGACATCAGGGGCACAGGACAGCTCAAAATTCCTCGCGAAACATTTATGCTCTTTATGCTAATTATTCATGAGTGGATATTCTATCTGAATCATTACAAACTGCATCCCCCCCATCTTTAATTGGGTTTTATTAACTTGCATCTATTGTTAAACGGGAACAATAGCACAAAAAGTAGAGAGAGAGAGCCAGGGGGGATGGTGACCTCATTGTGGTGAATAATTTGAACAGGTGGGCACACTGAAATATTTACAGAGTTGCTTTGTTTGAGCCTGCATTTAAAAGTTTATCATGATCACATACTTCTGCAGAATTAGGCCTGCACATGGAGCTGGAGTTGGTCTGTAGATTTTACACAGCTAAGCACTGTGGGAGCTTCCAGATGACATGCAGGGTCGGGATGGGACGGACATGAGCCAGAGTGAGGGGTAGGGAGGAGCTCGGGCTGCAGGGCTCTGGGTGTGTTTGCTGGTTTCCCTAGTACATCAGCCTAGGTGAGAACACTGGCCTGCTCTGTTTACTGAGGTTGCTAGAGGTTATTTTGTTAGTGTACTGGGATGTCAGGGCAGGAATGACACTTTCTCGGTCTCTGTCACAGATTTCATGGTGTTAGAAGGAAAAACTGCAGACTGGTGTTAAAATTCTCTCACCTTCTACTGAAAGCAACTTCATTAAGTCACGCATCGCTGTGGCCCTGCTGAGTCAACACCCCCTGCGGGTTCTGTGCGGGGCGTGGAGGATCCAGGCAGAGTCACAGCATGGCCCCTGCCCTGCAAGAGATCACAGTGCTGTCAGGGAGGTCAGAGGGCGATGGGGCCACAGACGCCAGGGACGCCAGGGTTAGTGTTCTGTGCAGGATGGAAAGGGGAAGGGGAGAGGCAGAGACGGTCTGACACCCAGGCTCTGGGGGACGGGGGAGCGAGGCCTCCAGGGATGCACAAGATCTCTCAAACTGACCGTCCCCAACCAATACTCAGAGAAGCAGGGAGGCTGCTGTGTTTCCTGGTTTCTTTGTGTGAACAGCCCCAACTGACATCAAGTCAAGGCAGGTTCCCCTGTGCGGCAGGAACATCTGCACAGTGCAGACAGACGGCTGCGAAACAGCCATGGCCTGGAGTTGGTGTGTGTTTGTCCTTTTGCTTTTTAACTATAAAATCAGATCCAACCAATGGCATCACCAGAAGACGGGCTTCAGACTCGTAGGTGCCACTCGGTGACCAAGTACCTGCTATGAAAACACATTGATTCCCGTGACTGTCCACAAATTCTCACCAACATCTCTTCTGCTGCTCACTCAAAGATTTTTCTTCCAATTTTTATTACCAAAAAAGGGAGAAAATCACTGGCTTTTCCTTAAAAGCCTATTTCTCTAGAAAAGTTTCTCTAGTTTCTCCTCATAAAAGTCTTAAACCTTTCACTGCTGTTTCCCATCATTCCGTTGGGTTACCTCCTCTGCAATGAACTTGACGGAATGCACACAGTGACTGATCTACACACCTGGGCGCTCATCCGCCGACCTAGGGGAGCCTTCGCTCTGCCTGTGCATCCTTCATGGAACCAGCATGTAAGACTGAGCCTGGCTCAGGTCCTAGGTGCCCAGTAAAGACTTTTAGAAATATGACAACTGAGTTGGAGACCCTAATGCCACCACTTCTTGAAGCTGAGCTGTTTCCTCTGCCACAGGATGGAGAAAAGAGGGAAACCTCTAAGTGGGTCATTAGTTCCCTAAAGCTGGGAATGCTAAGCTATCTGGGAAGTTTTAAAGAGTGATATAAAGAGGCCACCAAAGCTGGCATGAAATCCAACCTGTCTGCAACACTTGGAATGTCTCTCTAAACACGGCAGAAGACCCATAACTCATGCCGGGATTTCTTTTATTTCCCCCTGAGATTACTGGTGTGGTTTAAGTAAGGAAACTGCTTACTTCCTCATTTCAATGCTAAAATGAAGAATGCTTTTGCTTGGCGAAGATCAACTGTACATTTACTTAAGATAATGTCTGATGACATCATTTCCTGTTGTTAAAATGCTACAAGTGCTTGAATCTCCTACAAAGATACAGGTTAATGGAATCAGAACAGCTGATTGACAAGTGCGGAAATCAATCGTCTGAAATGATTATTTACAAATTCAAAGTTTTAAAAGCTTTTAAAAAAGAAGATGCTTGATCTAAGCTGCATTTGTACACACAAATGATGCAGTGCCACAGAAATCAAATTGCGAGATTCTAAGCAGGAGACGTATATGTATATACACATATGTAATGTCGATACTATATATGTAACAGAACATATACAGTAGTTTATATAATATGTAATAGGTCATATAATCAAAGATGCTACTAAACTTTTCTTACAGCACACTTAATTTTTTTTTTAATATTCCACAGCAGGGTACATTGGCTCATGCCTGTAAATCCCAGACTTTGGGTGGCCAAGGTGGGCAGATCTCTTGAGCCCAGGAGTTGGAGGCCAGCCTGGGTAACATGATGAGACCCCATCTCGACAAAAAATGCAACAATTAGCTGGGCGTGGTGGCATACACCTATGGTCCCAGCTACTCCAGAGGCTGAGGTGGGAGGATCCCTTTACCCCGAAGGTTGAGGCTGTAGTCAGCTATGATTGTGCCACTGCACTCCAGCCTGGACAACAGAGCAAGATGATGTCTCAAAAAAAAAATTCCAAATTGCTCGCTTTCCGCAGAAACAAACAATGTATTACCCTTCTTAATATGAAAATCTGTCAGTGATACAATAATCTCTAATATTTAGCATTCATTATCAATGATGCTAATATTTGTGATTAACTCCCCCCTCTGAAGGTAAATCCACTTCTCTATAAGAGCAATAAAGACACCATATTCTCAACCAACTCTTTGAAATGGAAGGAAAACTCGACTAGACCTTCAGGTCAAGTTCTTCACATCTGGGTGCCCAGCCACACGCAGTAAATTTTCGCTTTCACTATAAATCAAGTTAATAGTTCTCACTGTAAATGCAATACATGATTTTCCCACTTTTTAGTAGGAACTGTTTAAAATGCAATGTTTCTATGTAATCCAAAAATTTGAGTGACTTAATTTCAAAGTTACAGAAACTGCTATGCTCTCACTCTGTAATTTTTTTTAAAAAAGTTTTTGACAATAAGTAGCAGTTAAAACGAGTCAATTTAGCAGTGACAAAGAATGTTTTCCGCTATAAATGTAGTGCTTAAACAGTTATTTTAACAGTAGACTTGTCAAATTGATGTCGCTGGGCATCATAAAAACTGTCTAAAACTGTAAATTTAACTGTTAAAATGAGCATTTACACTGTTAGCTGCTAAACACTGGTTTAAACGAAGCTGTAATGAGCACAAACAATAAGAATGAGTGGAAATTATTTTCAAATGCTGATTTTTTTGTCATTTCTTGTTCCTTTCCTAAAGTGGGATGCAGGCTAATACTTGAACAGAGATGAGAATCTCTGGGAAATCGCCTGGCACGCTTTATAGTCCCTGAGCTCAGGAGGGACAGTGCCAAGTGAACCATTCGTCCCGAGGGTGGCTGCTTTCGGCCCAGGCTCCGATGCCTTGTGTGGCATGGCTTATCCAGGCATCTCACCTCCAGGACCTGCAGTGCGGTTTCTTCCTCTCTGGGACAAGCCTCATTATCTCCAAGAAAGTCACTGCATTCCGGGGGAGCAGGAGTGCGGACCTGGACTGACGCTTCCACCCTGCAACTCTTTCTGTGGGGGCACGCTGTGAAAACTGGCATTCCGAGAGAAACAGCCAGGCCCTGGCGCTGGCACCGTGGTGTGTCTGTAAGGGCCCCTCCTGAGGGTCTAAGCAGGAGAGGCGTCTGCCCCTGAGGAGGCCCCTTCCTTGGAAGCCCACTAGGTGCAATTACCAACCAATGCCGTCAGCCCTCGGGCCACATGCCAGCAGGGATCCTGCAGACCACATTTCACAGAAAACCCCAAATCTGTGTATGCTGGTGAACAGCTGAAAATGAGTTCTCAGAAACACACACACACACACACACACACACACAAGCTGATGCACAGTGTGTGCCAATTTCTGTGTTGTAAACAGTCCTGCCATGGCCAACGGGGGAGGTAAGGGCTATCACCGAGGACCGTGCAGCCCTGCCTGTGATCGCAAACGCCTGAACAGTGAGGAAAACACCCAGAGTCCCAGAGGCCTCAGGGGAGTGTTAATGAGGAGGTAGGGCGACCCCTGAGGGGGGCTCTGGGGCATCTGCTGGCCAACGTTATGTTCATTAAAGGATTCCACAGCTGCTGGGAAGCCAGGTGTCCCTTCCACAGCCTCTAGCAGCCCACTTCACCCCAGGATCTCAGAGTCCCCAGCCATGATAGGGAGGGCTCAGAAAGAGAATCACAGCCCCCGGGGGACTTCTCTGTCTGCGTTTTCTCACATGGGCAAGACTCTCCAGCCAGCCCTGGACTCGCTGACAAGGATTTGTAACTCCACGTAAGTCTATCAACTCAGATGCCACTTCCTCCAGGAAGACCACCTGGCCTTTCCAGGAGGAGGATGCACACGCACCCTGGTGTGACCCCATCTCAGGCCTGGTGACCCTGGATTTTGATCACTTGTGGACCCGCCTCCTGCAGAGACTACAGCAGAACTGTTCAGGGAGCTTGGGCAACAGAAAAGAATAGAATGGCCTCATCAGCACAAACAGTTTGAAGGATGACGGGGACAAATGTTCATGAGAGGGTTGAGGTACGCCATGGACTGCCTTGGATTTAAGGCCACTTTAGTACCAGCAGTAGGGAGCCACTGAAGGTTCTGGAGTAGGGCAATGGTGTGACTTGAATGGTGCTTTAGCAGGGTTAGTGTGGTGATCCTGTGTGACCTGGAAGGACTTGGATGTAAGGAAGCTGAGCCGTGGAGAGGTTGAGACGAGAGGAGAAGAGGAGGAGGGTGGAGCTGGTGGAGATGGCGGGAAGGCACCAGCTGTCAGGATTTGCTATCACGGAGGTCATGATGAGGCTGGGATTGGAGGTCATGGTGAGGCTGGGGTTGGAGGTCATGGTGAGGATGGGGTCGGAGGAAAGGGAGGGTGGACTTCACTCCATCACTGGACTCCAGATTGCATGGGGCCTCTGGATTTGCCAATAGAAGCACTCACAGGGTGACGAGGCCACTCTGTGGGCAAGACCCATCACTGTCTACACCTGCCGTCAACATGGGGACACCAAGGTGCAGCTGGGGAGAGCTCCTGGTGGGAGAAGAACCTGGGTCGTGACTGCACGTGAGCCATGGGGTCTAACAGAATCCAACCCCACAAGGAGGGAGGCCGGGGGAGGGTGGCAAACAGGAGACAGGGCTAGAGGCAAGGAAGGACCTGAGGCCTCCGAGGATAACAGCGGCTAAAGACGAGGACGGGGGGCTAGAGATGAGGACTGAGGGCTAGAGATGAGGACAGAGGACGGGGGGCTAGAGACGAGGACGGGGCGGCTGAAAGATCTCGCAGGGAGAGGCTGGGATGAGGCGGTGGGCTGCCAGGTGCTGCTGCAGCCACAGTGAGGGAATCTGAGGGCTGGGTCGGGCCATGGGAGTGGAGGGGAGATGGGAGGAGGCGGAGGTGGGTGGCCCCTGCACCTGAGGTGGCCCGCACACCCTGCGTCCTGGGAGGTCCCTGAGGGTCCTCGGCTTGTGTGTGTGTTTGTATTAACAGCAGCACAAAACCAGCCTCTTCCATATCATCACATGGTTTACAAAGACTATGAAATAAAAATAAAGATGATGTGTCTCTGGGAGACGGGGTGAGACACTGGATGCTGAGAATGTTAGTATCGAGTCTGTCACTGAGGTCAAAGCCATCTTTTATGCTGCTCACTCAGGAACTGTGGGGTCCCTCATGATCGATACCGGAGGGAAAGATCCCGGGAATTCTCGGGTCACAGGAGAACGCTCAAAACGTGCTGTCAACCAGAGGGGCCTCCTTGTTGGAATGAGTTAACACTCTGGTAATTTGGGCCTTTAGAAAGTGAAATAATATCACTAATAATGACGCCACCACCCAGCATTTATACGCACCTTTTTGCTTTCCAAGAACTTAAAGCACCTCACGTGTACCTTTCTTCTAGATCTAAAAGTGTATATTAGGGAGTTTGGGAAAACGCATTTTTGCTACTCCTAACCACAATACCCCCGTTTCCATAGTAACAAACAGGAAAACGAGGAAATAGGGACCCCAAACCCGGAAGCCTGGCTCAGGTCACAGACACGTGACAGGACGGGATCCAATATGCTGCTGCCAGGGTTGGACATTTGTCATAAGACACTTGAGGTGTGTGCAAGTTGTGCTGTCTAGTAAAGTAGAAACACTGAGAGCAGTAGGCAGGTGTCTGCGGGGTCGGAGAGGAAGGGCGCCATCGGGGAGGAGGCAGAAGGCGCGGATCCCGCCCGGCACACTGAGCACGCTGCCTGCCAGTAAGACGGGGCCTCTGTCCTGCCTGCCTGCCCCAGAGGACTGCGAGGTCAAACAAAACAATGAATATGAAAGCTCTACGTACTTTAAACAAACACGTGTTATTCATCATCATATTGTAAACCATCACAAATGTAGGACTATGCTAAAATAGTGCGGGAACAATGGCTTGCCTGGAAATGTCGTTTGTCCTCACTTTTTCCGAGATATCAGCATGACCACATACACATGCGGAGGTGAGCTGGCCATGCTAAACTCACTGAGCAGCGGCTTACCGATTATCACCTGGTCAAACGTAAACACAGCGAGGGATACGTTCCGGTAAGATGGATCTAAATTGAATCGGAAGTTATGTTCTACATGAAACTTTTCCATTATTTTTGGTATGATTCATGAAATAGATCTTCATGAATTTTCATCTAATGGAAACATTTCTGTTTTAGTATTTGGCCATGAGTAGAATAGAACAGAATAATTTGGGGGGTTATAAGGACGCACATGTTGGTTTGGTGTTCAACTCCTTCATTCTACAGTTCAGGCCTGAAGTCGAGAGAGCATAGCAGGTGTTCACAGACCACGCCATTATCTCATTCAAATTTACTTCATGGGAACATTGAGCTGCTCTGACGGAAGGGGGCTGCGTGTGTCACACAGCACACTTTGTGGCAGCACAAGCATCACGCTGTGAACCACAGCGACTGGGCTGCCTTTGCTCACCCTCAGCTCAGTGCGCACCAGGCCACTCTTCTGTCTTTTGATCCGTGCAGCAGCCCAGGCACCTGATGGGGTCATGGGAGAAGTGCGTTGAGTCGTGGGTGGGGCATGGGCCTCGACTTCTCTTCAGTGGAAAGTCTATTTGTGTGTCTTCTCCAGGAGATGAAAGAGTCACTGTCACGGCCCCTCCTTACCCCCTCCTCCCCCAATCTACTTAGTATGCCCAGAATATCCGGATGGATTTATATAGGTGCCCTCTCCTGTAAATCTTGTAACGGTGGCATTCTTCATTCTCTGATCAGGTTCAGGAGAAAATTTCCACCACCGAACACCCTGCTGTTACAAATTCCCTCCGACCACGTCCCCGGGACGCTCCTGGATGTCCCTTCCTGCCCCTGAAGGGAGAGATTGTGGCCTTATCAGATGCAAGGCAGAGGATGAAGATTTTGTAAATTTTACTGTTACATAAAAATGAGCATTATCCCTTTCTTAAAGTGCTCCTACAATGGGAACACTCGTAAATAAAAGTTTATAAAATAAGACATATTTTTTATTAATGTTTCCACATCATCATGTTCTGTGATTCCATCTGACTCACCTCTTTTAGAATCCACTCAGTTAACATTTATAGAGCTCTCCTCAAACCTAAGGCCAGCTAGACAACTGGACTGGGGGCTGCAGTGTCTCCCCAGCACACGCAGGGCAGCTTGTGTTGACATCGGCAAATCACAAGGCATTGAAACGAAGCTCATCTTAGAAAACCAAGGCCACACGTGGCACTTGTGGAGAGTGGGTTTTCCACACTTCCCACGGCCACAGAACATCGTTCTGAGCCTCACATGGGTGTCACAGGCCTCCCTGGGACCTGCTGGACCTCCCAGGGAGTGGCCTCTTCAGATCTACCGTCCCTGCAGACATGAGAGCCAGCCCCATTCCAAGGTGAGTCACAAGTAATGTCCCGCGGGTGACGAGGTGCTCACATTTGTGGGTGATTTATATTTGCATGAATTAAGCTGTATGTAATATTGTGCAAGAATAACACTCACTCACTCTGACTCACACTGGTGCTTCCCAATCATCTTTCTAGACTGAGAGAGTCATGGTGCTTCAGCCAGATGTCCTGGGACTGGGTGTAGCCCATAACCTGCCCATCTGCACGGTAAATGTGCAAACACCATCACTCACCATGTGGGGGCAGGGAAGCCGTCTCCGCAGACAGCGAGGAAAGCTTCCGCCCAGCCATGGGGCACAGCTGTCAACGTGGCCCAGAGACCAGCATCCCCGCTTGCTCCATCCTCCTGAGGTCCATCATGCCCGTTTCCCCATCTTCATGTGGTAAATTCACGTGATGGCGATGGGTTGACTATGTCATAACAGACACACAGATGATGCCCTTGGAAAAGATACAAACCCAAGCATGCAACCATCCCTGTTAGTCTCACTTTGCTTCTGTGCGCCAGATGAGCTCAATGTTGATTCACTCTAGGACAATGGCCCCTCTCAGTTGAAGAAAGACTATTTTGTTGCCAGAGAAATCTCCTAGCATAAGGAAATTAGAAATGTCTTCTCATTTTTAATAAATCCCAAAGTCCACACCATATTCTACATGTATACAGGAAGCAATGTGAGTTACTGTTATAGCCTTAGTCCTACGTGTATACAGGAAGCAATGTGAGTTACTGTCCTAGCCTTAGTCCTATGTGTATACAGGAAGTAATGTGAGTTACGGTCGTAGCCTTAGTCCTATGTGTATAAAGGAAGCAATGTGAGTTACTGTCATAGCCTTAGTCCTATGTGTATACAGGAAGCAATGTGAGTTACTGTCATAGCCTTAGTCCTACGTGTATACAGGAAGCAATGTGAGTTACTGTCCTAGCCTTAGTCCTACGTGTATACAGGAAGCAATGTGAGTTACTGTTACAGCCTTAGTCCTACGTGCATACAGGAAGCAATGTGAGTTACTGTTACAGCCTTAGTCCTACGTGCATACAGGAAGCAATGTGAGTTACTGTCATAGCCTTATTCCTACGTGTATACAGGAAGCAATGTGAGTTACTGTCCTAGCCTTAGTCCTATGTGTATACAGGAAGCAATGTGAGTTACTGTCCTAGCCTTAGTCCTACGTGTATACAGGAAGCAATGTGAGTTACTGTTACAGCCTTAGTCCTATGTGTATACAGGAAGCAATGTGAGTTACTGTCCTAGCCTTAGTCCTACGTGTATACAGGAAGCAATGTGAGTTACTGTTACAGCCTTAGTCCTACGTGTATACAGGAAGCAATGTGAGTTACTGTTACAGCCTTAGTCCTACGTGTATACAGGAAGCAATGTGAGTTACTGTCATAGCCTTAGTCCTAAGTGTATACAGGAAGCAATGTGAGTTACTGTTACAGCCTTAGTCCTATGTGTATACAGGAAGCAATGTGAGTTACTGTCCTAGCCTTAGTCCTACGTGTATACAGGAAGCAATGTGAGTTACTGTTACAGCCTTAGTCCTATGTGTATACAGGAAGCAATGTGAGTTACTGTTACAGCCTTAGTTCTATGTGTATACAGGAAGCAATGTGAGTTACTGTTACAGCCTTAGTTCTATGTGTATACAGGAAGCAATGTGAGTTACTGTTACAGCCTTAGTCCTATGTGTATACAGGAAGCAATGTGAGTTACTGTCCTAGCCTTAGTCCTATGTGTATACAGGAAGTAATGTGAGTTACGGTCGTAGCCTTAGTCCTATGTGTATAAAGGAAGCAATGTGAGTTACTGTCATAGCCTTAGTCCTATGTGTATACAGGAAGCAATGTGAGTTACTGTCATAGCCTTAGTCCTACGTGTATACAGGAAGCAATGTGAGTTACTGTTACAGCCTTAGTCCTACGTGTATACAGGAAGCAATGTGAGTTACTGTCATAGCCTTAGTCCTATGTGTATACAGGAAGCAATGTGAGTTACTGTTACAGCCTTAGTCCTACGTGTATACAGGAAGCAATGTGAGTTACTGTCCTAGCCTTAGTCCTACGTGTATACAGGAAGCAATGTGAGTTACTGTTGCAGCCTTAGTCCTACCTGTATACAGGAAGCAATGTGAGTTACTGTCATAGCCTTAGTCCTATGTGTATACAGGAAGCAATGTGAGTTACTGTTGCAGCCTTAGTCCTATGTGTATACAGGGAGCAATGTGAGTTACTGTCATAGCCTTAGTCCTACGTGTATACAGGAAGCAATGTGAGTTACTGTCATAGCCTTAGTCCTACGTGTATACAGGAAGCAATGTGAGTTACTGTCCTAGCCTTAGTTCTATGTGTATACAGGAAGCAATGTGAGTTACTGTTACAGCCTTAGTCCTATGTGTATACAGGAAGCAATGTGAGTTACTGTTACAGCCTTAGTCCTACGTGTATACAGGAAGCAATGTGAGTTACTGTCCTAGCCTTAGTCCTATGTGTATACAGGAAGCAATGATAGTTACTGTCCTAGCCTTAGTCCTACGTGTATACAGGAAGCAATGTGAGTTACTGTCCTAGCCTTAGTCCTATGTGTATACAGGAAGCAATGTGAGTTACTGTCCTAGCCTTAGTCCTACGTGTATACAGGAAGCAATGTGAGTTACTGTCCTAGCCTTAGTCCTACGTGTATACAGGAAGCAATGTGAGTTACTGTCCTAGCCTTAGTCCTACGTGTATACAGGAAGCAATGTGAGTTACTGTCCTAGCCTTAGTCCTATGTGTATACAGGAAGCAATGTGAGTTACTGTCCTAGCCTTAGTCCTATGTGTATACAGGAAGCAATGTGAGTTACTGTCCTAGCCTTAGTCCTATGTGTATACAGGAAGCAATGTGAGTTACTGTCATAGCCTTAGTCCTACGTGTATACAGGAAGCAATGTGAGTTACTGTCCTAGCCTTAGTCCTACGTGTATACAGGAAGCAATGTGAGTTACTGTCCTAGCCTTAGTACTACGTGTATACAGGAAGCAATGGGAGTTACTGTTACAGCCTTAGTCCTACGTGTATACAGGAAGCAATGTGAGTTACTGTCATAGCCTTAGTCCTACGTGTATACAGGAAGCAATGTGAGTTACTGTCATAGCCTTAGTCCTATGTGTATACAGGAAGCAATGTGAGTTACTGTCCTAGCCTTAGTCCTACGTGTATACAGGAAGCAATGTGAGTTACTGTTACAGCCTTAGTCCTACGTGTATACAGGAAGCAATGTGAGTTACTGTTACAGCCTTAGTCCTACGTGTATACAGGAAGCAATGTGAGTTACTGTCCTAGCCTTAGTCCTACGTGTATACAGGAAGCAATGTGAGTTACTGTCCTAGCCTTAGTCCTATGTGTATACAGGAAGCAATGTGAGTTACTGTTGCAGCCTTAGTCCTATGTGTATACAGGAAGCAATGTGAGTTACTGTTACAGCCTTAGTCCTACGTGTATACAGGAAGCAATGTGAGTTACTGTTACAGCCTTAGTCCTACGTGTATACAGGAAGCAATGTGAGTTACTGTTACAGCCTTAGTCCTACGTGTATACAGGAAGCAATGTGAGTTACTGTTACAGCCTTAGTCCTACGTGTATACAGGAAGCAATGTGAGTTACTGTCATAGCCTTAGTCCTATGTGTATACAGGAAGCAATGTGAGTTACTGTTACAGCCTTAGTCCTACGTGTATACAGGAAGCAATGTGAGTTACTGTCCTAGCCTTAGTCCTACGTGTATACAGGAAGCAATGTGAGTTACTGTTGCAGCCTTAGTCCTACCTGTATACAGGAAGCAATGTGAGTTACTGTCATAGCCTTAGTCCTATGTGTATACAGGAAGCAATGTGAGTTACTGTTGCAGCCTTAGTCCTATGTGTATACAGGGAGCAATGTGAGTTACTGTCATAGCCTTAGTCCTACGTGTATACAGGAAGTAATGTGAGTTACTGTCATAGCCTTAGTCCTACGTGTATACAGGAAGCAATGTGAGTTACTGTCCTAGCCTTAGTTCTATGTGTATACAGGAAGCAATGTGAGTTACTGTTACAGCCTTAGTCCTATGTGTATACAGGAAGCAATGTGAGTTACTGTTACAGCCTTAGTCCTACGTGTATACAGGAAGCAATGTGAGTTACTGTCATAGCCTTAGTCCTACGTGTATACAGGAAGTAATGTGAGTTACTGTCCTAGCCTTAGTCCTATGTGTATACCGGAAGCAATGTGAGTTACTGTTACAGCCTTAGTCCTACGTGTATACAGGAAGCAATGTGAGTTACTATTACAGCCTTAGTCCTACGTGTATACAGGAAGCAATGTGAGTTACTGTTACAGCCTTAGTCCTATGTGTATACAGGAAGCAATGTGAGTTACTGTTGCAGCCTTAGTCCTACGTGTATACAGGAAGTAATGTGAGTTACTGTCATAGCCTTAGTCCTACGTGTATACAGGAAGCAATGTGAGTTACTGTTACAGCCTTAGTCCTACGTGTATACAGGAAGCAATGTGAGTTACTGTTACAGCCTTAGTCCTACGTGTATACCGGAAGCAATGTGAGTTACTGTTACAGCCTTAGTCCTATGTGTATACAGGAAGTAATGTGAGTTACTGTCCTAGCCTTAGTTCTATGTGTATACAGGAAGCAATGTGAGTTACTGTTACAGCCTTAGTCCTATGTGTATACAGGAAGCAATGTGAGTTACTGTCCTAGCCTTAGTCCTACGTGTATACAGGAAGCAATGTGAGTTACTGTTACAGCCTTAGTCCTACGTGTATACAGGAAGCAATGTGAGTTACTGTTGCAGCCTTAGTCCTACCTGTATACAGGAAGCAATGTGAGTTATTGTCATAGCCTTAGTCCTATGTGTATACAGGAAGCAATGTGAGTTACTGTTACAGCCTTAGTCCTATGTGTATACAGGAAGCAATGTGAGTTACTGTTACAGCCTTAGTCCTATGTGTATACAGGAAGCAATGTGAGTTACTGTTACAGCCTTAGTCCTACGTGTATACAGGAAGCAATGTGAGTTACTGTTACAGCCTTAGTCCTATGTGTATACAGGAAGCAATGTGAGTTACTGTCATAGCCTTAGTCCTACGTGTATAGAGGAAGCAATGTGAGTTACTGTTACAGCCTTAGTCCTATGTGTATACAGGAAGCAATGTGAGTTACTGTTACAGCCTTAGTCCTACGTGTATACAGGAAGCAATGTGAGTTACTGTTACAGCCTTAGTCCTATGTGTATACAGGAAGCAATGTGAGTTACTGTCATAGCATTAGTCCTATGTGTATACAGGAAGCAATGTGAGTTACTGTCCTAGCCTTAGTCCTACGTGTATACAGGAAGCAATGTGAGTTACTGTTACAGCCTTAGTCCTATGTGTATACAGGAAGCAATGTGAGTTACTGTCCTAGCCTTAGTCCTACGTGTATACAGGAAGCAATGTGAGTTACTGTTACAGCCTTAGTCCTACGTGTATACAGGAAGCAATGTGAGTTACTGTTACAGCCTTAGTCCTACGTGTATACAGGAAGCAATGTGAGTTACTGTCATAGCCTTAGTCCTAAGTGTATACAGGAAGCAATGTGAGTTACTGTTACAGCCTTAGTCCTATGTGTATACAGGAAGCAATGTGAGTTACTGTCCTAGCCTTAGTCCTACGTGTATACAGGAAGCAATGTGAGTTACTGTTACAGCCTTAGTCCTATGTGTATACAGGAAGCAATGTGAGTTACTGTTACAGCCTTAGTTCTATGTGTATACAGGAAGCAATGTGAGTTACTGTTACAGCCTTAGTTCTATGTGTATACAGGAAGCAATGTGAGTTACTGTTACAGCCTTAGTCCTATGTGTATACAGGAAGCAATGTGAGTTACTGTCCTAGCCTTAGTCCTACGTGTATACAGGAAGCAATGTGAGTTACTGTTACAGCCTTAGTCCTATGTGTATACAGGAAGCAATGTGAGTTACTGTCATAGCCTTAGTCCTACGTGTATACAGGAAGCAATGTGAGTTACTGTCCTAGCCTTAGTCCTATGTGTATACAGGAAGCAATGTGAGTTACTGTCCTAGCCTTAGTCCTACGTGTATACAGGAAGCAATGTGAGTTACTGTTGCAGCCTTAGTCCTACCTGTATACAGGAAGCAATGTGAGTTACTGTCATAGCCTTAGTCCTATGTGTATACAGGAAGCAATGTGAGTTACTGTTAAAGCCTTAGTCCTACGTGTATACAGGAAGCAATGTGAGTTACTGTCATAGCCTTAGTCCTACGTGTATCAGGAAAGCAATGTGAGTTACTGTTACAGCCTTAGTCCTACGTGTATACAGGAAGCAATGAGAGTTACTGTCCTAGCGTGGAAAAGTAAGAAAAAAACAGGAAGCAATGTGAGTTACTGTTACAGCCTTAGTCCTATGTGTATACAGGAAGCAATGTGAGTTACTGTTACAGCCTTAGTTCTATGTGTATACAGGAAGCAATGTGAGTTACTGTTACAGCATTAGTTCTATGTGTATACAGGAAGCAATGTGAGTTACTGTTACAGCCTTAGTCCTATGTGTATACAGGAAGCAATGTGAGTTACTGTCCTAGCCTTAGTCCTACGTGTATACAGGAAGCAATGTGAGTTACTGTTACAGCCTTAGTCCTATATGTATACAGGAAGCAATGTGAGTTACTGTCATAGCCTTAGTCCTACGTGTATACAGGAAGCAATGTGAGTTACTGTCCTAGCCTTAGTCCTACGTGTATACAGGAAGCAATGTGAGTTACTGTCCTAGCCTTAGTCCTATGTGTATACAGGAAGCAATGTGAGTTACTGTCCTAGCCTTAGTCCTATGTGTATACAGGAAGCAATGTGAGTTACTGTCATAGCCTTAGTCCTATGTGTATACAGGAAGCAATGTGAGTTACTGTCCTAGCCTTAGTCCTACGTGTATACAGGAAGCAATGTGAGTTACTGTCCTAGCCTTAGTACTACGTGTATACAGGAAGCAATGGGAGTTACTGTTACAGCCTTAGTCCTACGTGTATACAGGAAGCAATGTGAGTTACTGTCATAGCCTTAGTCCTACGTGTATACAGGAAGCAATGTGAGTTACTGTCATAGCCTTAGTCCTATGTGTATACAGGAAGCAATGTGAGTTACTGTCCTAGCCTTAGTCCTACGTGTATACAGGAAGCAATGTGAGTTACTGTTACAGCCTTAGTCCTACGTGTATACAGGAAGCAATGTGAGTTACTGTTACAGCCTTAGTCCTACGTGTATACAGGAAGCAATGTGAGTTACTGTCCTAGCCTTAGTCCTACGTGTATACAGGAAGCAATGTGAGTTACTGTCCTAGCCTTAGTCCTATGTGTATACACGAAGCAATGTGAGTTACTGTTGCAGCCTTAGTCCTATGTGTATACAGGAAGCAATGTGAGTTACTGTTACAGCCTTAGTCCTACGTGTATACAGGAAGCAATGTGAGTTACTGTTACAGCCTTAGTCCTACGTGTATACAGGAAGCAATGTGAGTTACTGTTACAGCCTTAGTCCTACGTGTATACAGGAAGCAATGTGAGTTACTGTTACAGCCTTAGTCCTACGTGTATACAGGAAGCAATGTGAGTTACTGTCATAGCCTTAGTCCTATGTGTATACAGGAAGCAATGTGAGTTACTGTTACAGCCTTAGTCCTACGTGTATACAGGAAGCAATGTGAGTTACTGTCATAGCCTTAGTCCTATGTGTATACAGGAAGCAATGTGAGTTACTGTCCTAGCCTTAGTCCTACGTGTATACAGGAAGCAATGTGAGTTACTGTTACAGCCTTAGTCCTACGTGTATACAGGAAGCAATGTGAGTTACTGTTACAGCCTTAGTCCTACGTGTATACAGGAAGCAATGTGAGTTACTGTCCTAGCCTTAGTCCTACGTGTATACAGGAAGCAATGTGAGTTACTGTCCTAGCCTTAGTCCTATGTGTATACAGGAAGCAATGTGAGTTACTGTTGCAGCCTTAGTCCTATGTGTATACAGGAAGCAATGTGAGTTACTGTTACAGCCTTAGTCCTACGTGTATACAGGAAGCAATGTGAGTTACTGTTACAGCCTTAGTCCTACGTGTATACAGGAAGCAATGTGAGTTACTGTTACAGCCTTAGTCCTACGTGTATACAGGAAGCAATGTGAGTTACTGTTACAGCCTTAGTCCTACGTGTATACAGGAAGCAATGTGAGTTACTGTCATAGCATTAGTCCTATGTGTATACAGGAAGCAATGTGAGTTACTGTCCTAGCCTTAGTCCTACGTGTATACAGGAAGCAATGTGAGTTACTGTTACAGCCTTAGTCCTATGTGTATACAGGAAGCAATGTGAGTTACTGTCCTAGCCTTAGTCCTACGTGTATACAGGAAGCAATGTGAGTTACTGTTACAGCCTTAGTCCTACGTGTATACAGGAAGCAATGTGAGTTACTGTTACAGCCTTAGTCCTACGTGTATACAGGAAGCAATGTGAGTTACTGTCATAGCCTTAGTCCTAAGTGTATACAGGAAGCAATGTGAGTTACTGTTACAGCCTTAGTCCTATGTGTATACAGGAAGCAATGTGAGTTACTGTCCTAGCCTTAGTCCTACGTGTATACAGGAAGCAATGTGAGTTACTGTTGCAGCCTTAGTCCTACCTGTATACAGGAAGCAATGTGAGTTACTGTCATAGCCTTAGTCCTATGTGTATACAGGAAGCAATGTGAGTTACTGTTAAAGCCTTAGTCCTACGTGTATACAGGAAGCAATGTGAGTTACTGTCATAGCCTTAGTCCTACGTGTATACAGGAAGCAATGTGAGTTACTGTTACAGCCTTAGTCCTACGTGTATACAGGAAGCAATGTGAGTTACTGTCATAGCCTTAGTCCTATGTGTATACAGGAAGCAATGTGAGTTACTGTCCTAGCCTTAGTCCTACGTGTATACAGGAAGCAATGTGAGTTACTGTTACAGCCTTAGTCCTACGTGTATACAGGAAGCAATGTGAGTTACTGTTACAGCCTTAGTCCTACGTGTATACAGGAAGCAATGTGAGTTACTGTCCTAGCCTTAGTCCTACGTGTATACAGGAAGCAATGTGAGTTACTGTCCTAGCCTTAGTCCTATGTGTATACACGAAGCAATGTGAGTTACTGTTGCAGCCTTAGTCCTATGTGTATACAGGAAGCAATGTGAGTTACTGTTACAGCCTTAGTCCTACGTGTATACAGGAAGCAATGTGAGTTACTGTTACAGCCTTAGTCCTACGTGTATACAGGAAGCAATGTGAGTTACTGTTACAGCCTTAGTCCTACGTGTATACAGGAAGCAATGTGAGTTACTGTTGCAGCCTTAGTCCTACCTGTATACAGGAAGCAATGTGAGTTATTGTCATACCTTAGTCCTAAGTGTATACAGGAAGCAATGTGAGTTACTGTTACAGCCTTAGTCCTATGTGTATACAGGAAGCAATGTGAGTTACTGTCCTAGCCTTAGTCCTACGTGTATACAGGAAGCAATGTGAGTTACTGTTACAGCCTTAGTCCTATGTGTATACAGGAAGCAATGTGAGTTACTGTTACAGCCTTAGTTCTATGTGTATACAGGAAGCAATGTGAGTTACTGTTACAGCCTTAGTTCTATGTGTATACAGGAAGCAATGTGAGTTACTGTTACAGCCTTAGTCCTATGTGTATACAGGAAGCAATGTGAGTTACTGTCCTAGCCTTAGTCCTACGTGTATACAGGAAGCAATGTGAGTTACTGTTACAGCCTTAGTCCTATGTGTATACAGGAAGCAATGTGAGTTACTGTCATAGCCTTAGTCCTACGTGTATACAGGAAGCAATGTGAGTTACTGTCCTAGCCTTAGTCCTATGTGTATACAGGAAGCAATGTGAGTTACTGTCCTAGCCTTAGTCCTACGTGTATACAGGAAGCAATGTGAGTTACTGTCCTAGCCTTAGTCCTATGTGTATACAGGAAGCAATGTGAGTTACTGTCCTAGCCTTAGTCCTATGTGTATACAGGAAGCAATGTGAGTTACTGTTACAGCCTTAGTCCTTTGTGTATACAGGAAGCAATGTGAGTTACTGTCCTAGCCTTAGTCCTACGTGTATACAGGAATCAATGTGAGTTACTGTCCTAGCCTTAGTCCTATGTGTATACAGGAAGCAATGATAGTTACTGTCCTAGCCTTAGTCCTACGTGTATACAGGAAGCAATGTGAGTTACTGTCCTAGCCTTAGTCCTATGTGTATACAGGAAGCAATGTGAGTTACTGTCCTAGCCTTAGTCCTACGTGTATACAGGAAGCAATGTGAGTTACTGTCCTAGCCTTAGTCCTACGTGTATACAGGAAGCAATGTGAGTTACTGTCCTAGCCTTAGTCCTACGTGTATACAGGAAGCAATGTGAGTTACTGTCCTAGCCTTAGTCCTATGTGTATACAGGAAGCAATGTGAGTTACTGTCCTAGCCTTAGTCCTATGTGTATACAGGAAGCAATGTGAGTTACTGTCCTAGCCTTAGTCCTATGTGTATACAGGAAGCAATGTGAGTTACTGTCATAGCCTTAGTCCTATGTGTATACAGGAAGCAATGTGAGTTACTGTCCTAGCCTTAGTCCTACGTGTATACAGGAAGCAATGTGAGTTACTGTCCTAGCCTTAGTACTACGTGTATACAGGAAGCAATGGGAGTTACTGTTACAGCCTTAGTCCTACGTGTATACAGGAAGCAATGTGAGTTACTGTCATAGCCTTAGTCCTACGTGTATACAGGAAGCAATGTGAGTTACTGTCATAGCCTTAGTCCTATGTGTATACAGGAAGCAATGTGAGTTACTGTCCTAGCCTTAGTCCTACGTGTATACAGGAAGCAATGTGAGTTACTGTTACAGCCTTAGTCCTACGTGTATACAGGAAGCAATGTGAGTTACTGTTACAGCCTTAGTCCTACGTGTATACAGGAAGCAATGTGAGTTACTGTCCTAGCCTTAGTCCTACGTGTATACAGGAAGCAATGTGAGTTACTGTCCTAGCCTTAGTCCTATGTGTATACAGGAAGCAATGTGAGTTACTGTTGCAGCCTTAGTCCTACGTGTATACAGGAAGCAATGTGAGTTACTGTCCTAGCCTTAGTCCTACGTGTATACAGGAAGCAATGTGAGTTACTGTTACAGCCTTAGTCCTATGTGTATACAGGAAGCAATGTGAGTTACTGTCATAGCCTTAGTCCTACGTGTATACAGGAAGCAATGTGAGTTACTGTCCTAGCCTTAGTCCTATGTGTATACAGGAAGCAATGTGAGTTACTGTCCTAGCCTTAGTCCTACGTGTATACAGGAAGCAATGTGAGTTACTGTCCTAGCCTTAGTCCTATGTGTATACAGGAAGCAATGTGAGTTACTGTCCTAGCCTTAGTCCTATGTGTATACAGGAAGCAATGTGAGTTACTGTTACAGCCTTAGTCCTACGTGTATACAGGAAGCAATGTGAGTTACTGTTACAGCCTTAGTCCTATGTGTATACAGGAAGCAATGTGAGTTACTGTCATAGCCTTAGTCCTACGTGTATAGAGGAAGCAATGTGAGTTACTGTTACAGCCTTAGTCCTATGTGTATACAGGAAGCAATGTGAGTTACTGTTACAGCCTTAGTCCTACGTGTATACAGGAAGCAATGTGAGTTACTGTTACAGCCTTAGTCCTATGTGTATACAGGAAGCAATGTGAGTTACTGTTACAGCCTTAGTTCTATGTGTCTACAGGAAGCAATGTGAATTACTGTTGTAGCCTTAATGTGTCCGGCTTCCTGCGTACTTTCAGGCTGCTCCTGGAGACACTTTTTCTCTCTTCTTCCCTTGGGCTTCCCAGAACCTGGCCACTCTCTTCAGTTGTCGCAGCTGCAGTCGCACAGAGAGGAAAAGGCCAACCGTTGACAGGTTCTGCACCCGCTTCTGCCTTGCTTTCCTCATCAGAAGGGAGACGGAAGTGAGATGCCTAGGATGGCCGACATTCTCCTTGCTGTGCACCTGTACCCAGCTGAGCCCCTGGCCCTTCTCCCTGACTCGCGGACACTCTCCAGAGCTGCTTGCACGCTCCCTGAGGCCGTCTGCCCGAGAGTAGCCCACCTGGCCTCTCGTGAGCCTCTCCAGGTTCCTGGGCTGGGTCACAATGCTTCTTTGAACTCTCAGACCCAGCCACCCCAGCTCCGATGCTTTGTTCTTCTTCCACCTGGGAAACTCCTGTTTCTGCCTCAAGACCCTGCAAAGCCTGCCCTCTCTCAGGAGCTCTTTCTGCCAGCCCTGGTGCCTCCACAAGCCTAGACCGCCCTCCACCCCTACACGCTGTGCAAGCCTGTGTGTCTGCGCTCACTGTCCTGTGTGGTCCCGGCAGCTGTCCTCACCCGGGCCTCATGGTATTTGGAGGAACGGTCTTCATCTCCAGCTCTGTGCTTTGGGGACTCGTGCAGGGGCTGGAAGTCAGGAGTTCATAAATGCTTGTTGGATGAAGTACTGAGTAGAACGTCCTGGCGAGTGACAAAGGTCACTGACCCACAACTGTGACTCCCAACCCGCAAATTCCCGGGCTCTCGAGATTCAGCAGCCCATAGTGCGTGGAGGTGCTGGAGCATGACTTTGATAAAATTGCTGTACTCGTGTGTATAAGACACGAAAGCCGAGGCCTGGCTGATCTGCGTCCTCCCCCGTCAGGGCTGTGCAGGCCTCGGTGTGAACGCTGCAGCTCCATCAGCAGCCATGACTCTCACAGCTGCACAGGGGACCCTGGTGGTCCATCGATGGGGTCCTCAAACGTCAGAGACATCAATAAAAGAATTAATTGCATTTTAATTATTTTTTAAAAACCTCATCATTTTCCTGAAGCCGGAAACGATGGCTCTGCCTGTCCCTTGGTTTACAGGCCTGCTAAGGAAGGCGCCGACGTCCCTCCGAGAAGCAAGCTGTCTTTCATGCCTCGCAGCCTCGCAGAGGACATGGAGCAGGCCACCCCCAAGGACTTCCAGAGACCAGCCAGCCCCGTCCACACCTGGACAAAGCTGAAAACAGCCAGGCGGACACACCGCCTTCCTTCCCCAGGCCCGTCGGTTACACCCAAAGAACCACCAGTCCGTCCAGAAAGCACCCAAGGGCCCACACCGCCAGGGTAGTCGGCAAGCGTTCACACTGCCAGGGGAGTCGGCTGCAGGCTGAAGTGCTGGGCACGTTGGGAAGGGGAGGTCTCTGTGAGAACACAGACACTGGAGGTCCTGAGTTGTGTCCTGACATCACAGTTCCCTGGGCCTTGTTCTCGGATTCCAGTCTTTCCTCCTCTTCGCAGCTCGGGTGTCTGTGTTGGGGATCCCCTGGAGAGTGCATTTCTGAGGGCACCGAGACCCTATGTGCAGTGGGAGGCTGCAGCTGATGCCCCCGGGGATTTCCTCCAGTGTTTCTTCTAGGGTCCCCCCACCCCTGTCATCCCATCTCATAGACGCCTCTAGGCGATGCCCACCGGGGGCTGCAGCTGCACCCGCAGCTGGGGGCCACATCAACATGACTGCGCCTCCCGCTGGCACCAGACACCACCACTCACCACTGCTTGCTTGAAAATAGCCCCAAAAGAACATAGATTCCAACATGTATTTCCATGAGAATAAAGGAAGTCTGAAAAATCCATGTAGAGTTACTTCGCACCATGTGAAAATCAATAAATGTGTGTCTGTGTGTAAGTGTGTCCAAGTGCATGTGAGTGTGTGCCTGTGTGTGCAAGTGCATGTGTGTGCATGTGTGTGAGTGCATGCAATTGCATGTGAGTTGTAAGACCATGTGTATGCATGTGAGTGTGTGTAAATGTGTGAGTGCATGTGTCTATGGGTGTGTGTGTAAGTGCATGTGTGTGAATGTGTGAGTGGATGAGTGTGTGTGAGTGCATGTGTAACTCCATGTGTGTATGTGAATGCCTGTGTGAGTCCATGAGTATGTGTTTGTGTGCCTGTGAGTGCATGTGTGTGTATGGGAGTGTGTGAGTGCATGTGTGTGCATATTACTGTGTAAGTGCATGTGTGTGCATCAGTGCATGTGTATGAGTCCGTGTGTGTGGCAGTGCATGTGTGAGTGTATGGATGTGCGTTAGTGCATGTGTGTGTGGTTGTGTGTGAGTGCATGTGTGAGTTTGTGTGTGAGTGCATGCATGAGTTTGTGTGTGAGTGCATGTGTGTGTTGCATATTTGTGGAGTGCATGTGTGTGTGAATGTGGGTGAGTGCAAGTGCATGTGTGAATGTGCTCGTGTGGGTGAAAGTGTGTGATTGTGTGAGTGCATGTTTGTGTGTGCATGTGTGTTTGTGTGTGCATGTGTCTAAGTGTTTCAGTGCATATGTGAGTGCATGTGTTAGTGTATGAATGCATGAGTGCATGATAGTGTGAGTGCATGTGTGTGCAAGTGAGTGGTTGTGAGTGCATGTGTGAATGTGTGTGCAGGTGTGTGTATGTGTGCCTTGTGTAAGTGCATGTGAGTGGATGTGTGAGTGTGCATGGGTGTGTAGAGGTGCATGTGTGTCTGTGAGTGCATGTGCGTGTGTGTGTCTGTGTATGAGCATGTGTGCATGAGCATCAGTGTGAATGCGTTTGGGAGTGTGTACATGTGTGAGTGCATGTGTGTGTCTGAGTGCATGTTCATGTGTGATTGAGAATGCGTGTGTGTGCGCAGGTGTATGAGTGCGTGTGTGTGACTGTGCATGTGAGTTCATGGTTGTGTGTGCCTGCGTGTGTGTGTGTGTGCATGTGTTTGTGGGTCCATGTGTGCCTGAGAGTGCGAGAGTGTGCATGTGTGTGCATATGTGAGTGCATGTGTAAGGGTGTTTGTGTGTGAGTGTGAGTTGTGCTTTCTCTTTTTTGAGATGGAGTCTTGCTCTGTCGCCAGGCTGGAGTGCAGTGGTGCCATCTCGGCTCACTGCAACCTCCACCTCGGGGGTTCAAGCCATTCTCCTGCCTCAGCCTCCAGAGTAGCTGGGATTACGGCGCTTGCCATCACGCCCGACTAATTTTTTGTATTTTTAGGAAAGACAGTGTTTCACCAGGTTGGCCAGGCTGGTTGTGAATTCCTGACCTCGGGTGATCCGCCCACCTCAGCCTCCCAAAGTGCTGGGATTACAAGGATGAAATGTGTGTGTGTGTTTGTTTGTTTGTTTTTAATCTCACATCCCACATCCCGCAGTTTTTCCTCCTCGTCACAGGCCTGGCTACGTTGCGGCATTCATGATTTCCTTCATGAGCAGCGGCATTTCCCATCGGGTGGACAGGTGGGCCTGGGCTGCACCTTGTTCTGCTCTACTCGGAGCGGCCCCTCTGTCCCTGTGGCATCGCCTCTCGGCTCCCGGCCGGCTGGGCTCCCTGTGTCACCGACTCCCAGGAGAGGCTTCCGAGGCTGCTTTGCCTTCTCTCCAGGCCCGGCTGCGAGGGCTGCCTCGCCAGGGACGGGACAAACCCCGCAGAGGGGGCCGTGGGGAACCCTGAAGGGAACCGGGCAGGGCGGGAGAGACAGATGGCCTGAATTTCCCACCGATCGCCGAGCGGCACATTGGCCGGGGCAGTGATGGATGAAGAGTCCTTCAGCCTCAGTCCCATGGCGCGGGGCTTTGCGCAGATGCTCAGCGGGGGCCACCGGCCTGGCTTTGCTGAAACACGGGAAGGGCCCCCAGCCCTGGGTTCGCGCCCCTGCGAGGCGCTCCTTCCCTTGGCGCCTGGGGCCCGCGCGGCCGTTTCCCTCCCCGCACCCACCGCAGTGCAGACCCGGAGCCCAGGCCTCCTGCAGGCGGGTCACCTCCCTCTCAGTTCAGCTGGATCTTCCCGGTGCCTGACCGTGGCCACCCTCTCGGAAACTGTTTTAAAGTCACCTTCGGGTCCTTCCAGACCTGTTGTGCCTGTTGCAGGTCGGAAACGCAACCCGTCTGGAAGCGCAGGCCCCTTAGGGAGGCTGCAGGGCGCCCCGGCCGGCCTGGGGCTGGGGAGGGCGGCTGGGAAGGAGGCACCGAGCAGCACTTGGCCCCGGGCGGCGGCGAGGACAGAGGGAAGCCAGGGAGCGTCCGAGGGAACCACACCCGCGTGTGTCAGGGCCGCAGTGGAGGAGGCTGCAGGGAGCCCCCTAAGTGGGATTCAAGGTCGTGATTCCCAGGCACACGCTCCGTTACACGCCGGGTGGCACGGACATTGCCCGTCTGCCCTCTTCCGTGTCTCCATTGGAGTATGAGATCACACCACACAGCACACACCACACAGCACACACCACACAGCACACACACCACACAGCACACACCAGACACCACACAGCACACACCACACAGCACACACCACACCACACAGCACACACCAGACACACACCACACAGCACACACCACACAGCACACACCACACAGCACACACCACACCACACAGCACACACCACACAGCGCATAGCACACAGCACACCACACAGCACACACCACACAGCACACACACCACACACCAGACACACACCACACAGCACACACCACACAGCACACACCACACAGCACACACCACACAGCGCATAGCACACACTACACAGCACACACCACACCACACAGCACACACCACACTGCACACACCACACACCACACACCATAGACCACCCACACACCACACACACCCCACACCACACACCACACACCACACACTACCCACACACCACCCACACACCACACACACACCACACACCACACACCACCCACACAGCACACACCACACACCACCCACACACCACACACCACACCACACACACCACACACACCACACACCACAGCACACACCATGCCACACACCACACACCACACCCCACACCACACACCACCCACATACCACACAGCATTTTCTGGACTGGCAGTGACTCCGGCCTTTCCTGCAGGTTCTTCCCAGGAGCAGGCCTGGCCTCACCGCCGCCGAAACCAGACCCAGCACAAGCCAGTGCATGCAAGGGGATGTTGATTTCACATTTCCTCTCTGAATCCATTAATATTTTATGAGGCCACACAGAGGGTTCTTGCACTAGATGTTTCTCTCTCTTTTTAATCATGTAATGTGCTATAAAGCATGATATATTGACAAGAGGGAAGGGAAACCAAAGTTTGTTTAGCTCAGAGGGGGGAAAGCCAAACACACATTTTGAAGATTACAACAGACATCCCTGAGGCTGAAGGGTCGCTCAGGTCATTTGACGTCTTGACAAACGAGTCTGTTCTCTTCTGGTTTCACAGCTGGAGTTGTGGGCACGTCCCAGCAAAGGGACACCGTTCACAGAAATAGCATAACCTTCCCAGCACGGGTGCCCCAGCCTCCAGCCAGACCACAGGCCAGCTCCTTTCTGAGACCAGAGGCCAGCACTGTTCTCAAAAGAGGGAAGGGTAAGCAGCCCCCAAAGCTGACCATGAATACTCCAAACACGTCGTCCAGTCTCCTCTCTCTCCTCAGCCCCCAGGCTCCAGCCGCCCCTCTGCAGTACCTCCTGGTATCCCAGATTCCAAACTGGATGGTCCTCAAGGGCTGCCGTGACTCCCCTCTCCGGCCTCACCACTCACCCGCTCATGGGGGAGCGTGGGGACTGCTGGGAGCTCCAGAGGCATTTGCAGCACGGGAGAGCCAGTTCCCACTTCAGAGTGACTGCCACTGTCACGGGCACCGCCCCCTCGGTGCCAGGTGCATTACTGAAGAGTGAGGCCAGCCCCTAGTGTGGACAGTCCAGAGGGAGAGTAGAGTGAGCCCCGCCGTGTGCACAGTCCAGATGGGCAGTAAGGCCAGCTCCCCAGTGTAGAAAATCAAGATGATGAGTAAGTGGATTATCCAGTGTAGACAATCATGATAAGGAATAAGGTAAACTCCCCAGTGTAGACAGTCAAGATGAGTAGTAAGTAAACTAGTAAACTCCCAGTGTTGACACTGATGTGGGTAAGAAGATGAGTTCCCCGGTGTAGATAGATGAGATGGATATTAAGGTGAGCTCCCAGTGTAGACAGCTGGGATGGGGAGTAAGTGAGCTCCCACTGTAGACAGTCTAGGTGGGTAATAAGGTGAGCTCCCACTGTAGACAGTTGAAAATCTTGATTCATCATTTTTATTTAAAATGCAGAAATGCAGTAGATTCCCTGCATTAGTGAACAAGCATTTGTTGCTTTTGTGACTTGTGAACAGTGTCACACTTCTGAGACATGAAATAACAGGCCATTTGCTGATCCCATCTGAAGTGAGGTTGGCGTGTGAAAGTGTCTGAGCTACAGAATGGGTTGGCCAAGCCCCCTTCTGAGACATGAAATAACAGGCCATTTGCTGATCCCATGCGAAGTGAGGTTCTGTGTGAGAGAAAGTATCTGAGCTAGAGAATGGGTTGGCCAAGCCCCCTGCAGCTCAGTTCAGCGGGCTTTTTTCTTCTTTCCTCCTTGTCAGACATACATTTTACCAGTTAATTTAGAAACTGCAGGGATAGTCACCAATAAGAGGATTCCAAACTGTTAAGAATTAGAAAGTGAGGTTATATGGGAAACAAAACACGTCATTGTAACCACAGAGTGGCTCAAGTCTATGTAGGGTGAGAATGAATTTCAAATCCTTTCAAACACTGTGAGAAGCTGATCTTGATGTTCTTTTGAAGTTTTCAGCTGGCAGCGAGCTGAGCTGAGGCTGGCACGCCTCTCCTGGGTCCTGTCACGTGAAGAGGGGGAAGTCCTCCAAGGCTCCTGTGGACAGACAGCAGGGGCACTTTCCCAGCTAAAGCACGAGCTCTGGCATAGGTCTCTGCATCCAACTTGAATAGACCACATCAGCTTCTCCCCAGGTGATAGTTCCCCCAAGCAGAATGCACATTGCCAGAGTCCCTCCGCTAATTTGTACTCCTCTGTTGTGATAGGAAATGCGAGTTCCTTGGCTGGCATTCCTATTTCCCACCTTTTCCCTGATTTCCTTTGAAGTGGCGATATGCCCAGCTATCACCTTTATTTCCAGCCTGTCTCGCACCTAGGAATTTCCAAAAAATGTAATTTACAGTGATAGAGTGAAGTTTCCAATAAAGGAACTTGAATTTTGTGCCCCCTTTGCCTTTCTCTACATCTTTCTTCTTCTGACCTGGAATGTGAAAATGATGGCTAGAAGTCAGCAAGCATCTTGTGACCACAGGGTAACTTCGGGGAGAGAAAGCAAGGAGGCATTAAGGATGGCGGGACCGAGAGATTAAAGGAGCTTGGGATGTCGTGGACTTACCGCACCAGCCCTGAATTGCTTGTCTCCAGACTTCTCATGAGAAAAAAAAAATCTAATTTATTTAAACCATGATCATTTGGGGTCTCTACTACCCTACTACAGCCAAACACCATTTGTAAATGGCACATTGTACTTTTTAATCTTAAGAAAACAATGGACATATGTTTCACATTTCACCTTAATCATACAGCTGTAGCAACACCAGCCTGCAACATCTCATTATCTAAGGGCAGCTTCACTCTAATGAACTAATAGATACCAACGAGTGAATGTATCACTCCTGCTAATTAGTTGTTGTGTTTTCAAATAGGGTCTTCTGGAGTGATGACTTTACCTGTAGCAGTGAAATTTTGTCACTTGGCAGGCTAAGACAGATGCTGGGGTATATGAGTAATTTAGGTCTCATTAAGTCATAGTGTATAGGTGGCACCTTAGCTTTCTGTGTGCTGGCCCAGCCTTTAACCAAAACAGCTTAAAGACTGGGCCTTTAGAGGCTGAGTAAAGGCCCAGTTCTACCAAAAACGGTATACCCTACCCTGATTGCACTAGACAGGAAGATGCTACCTGAAGCAGGATGACTCACAGAGAATATAGCAGAGCAAAGGCAGAAGTGCAGACGAGTAGGATATGACTGGAATTTGAGGAACTACATTTCTCAAGTTATCACTGTCTGTCCAAGAGTTTTGACCACAAATTAATAGAGTTCCCTTTTTTTAATTGTGATTAACAAACATCAGACCAGCTTAAACATCAGTTAGACAGTCTATGCATAATGTGTACCTTTTCATCAGAAAGACGGTGCAGACACAGAAGGGCTGGAATCCATCAGGGTCAGCAACTGAGGAAGATGAATGGAAGAGCAGGGGAGTAATTTGCTGCCATCCATGAAAAATGCGCTGGCAGAGAGTCTCGGGGACTTGCCAAGCCCCCTTTTAGAGCGTTGTCCAACGCTAATTGTCACTCCAGATTTGATATTCACATTAGCCACAACAAGTGTTTCCAGTTTGGAATCCCTAAGAACTCTTCAAATATCTGGCATCCATGTGTTAAACAAAAATTTTCTTCTAGCTGAATTTGTTTATAAGTTATGAGTGGGACGTTAACAAAGCTTTCCGTTGACCAGCACAGCGCTCATTAACCAATAACAAAGGCTTAGCAGGCAGCGTATGATCTCAGGAGTCATTTAAAAATTAAAAGGGACAATAATGCTGATCTAAATGGTCAGTTTCCTTGCTCTCTGCAGAGACAGGTACTGTATCTGTTCTTAATTTGAAGAGTAGCCAGCTGGCTCCCCACTGAAATGTGATATTGTTATAAACAAACTAGCATCATAAAGCAATTGAGCAAGGAAGGCCCTCTGGAAGGAGGGGACTGCCTTTGAGTTATTCAGACAGATAAAGAGGGGCCAGGATTGCCCTGCGAAGCAAAGCAGGATGTGAAAAGCAGCTACGGCGGGGCTGTCAGGCAGCAATAGCAGCATCCAGCTGGTCTCCTTGCACACAGCAGCAGGTGTATTTATTATATCAAGAATCCAACTCCTCAGTGCACATTATAGGAGCCACCTCTTTCCATTAAATAACAACATAATCAATTGCATGAATCATGGCTGAAAGAAACGTTACCTTGCAAAGGTGGATGGTCTGGCAGAAATCTTGCCACCATTCTAAGGGGATTTAGAAAAACCTGTGAAGTTAGAGTAAGAGGAAGTTGAAATTCTATCAAGAACCTTCTATTTTTCACCCCAGCCTGAAGGCGGGGATGATAACCACAGACGTATAGTTGGCCTCTTAGGGCTGACGAAACAAGTGTGATGTTTGACAGTAATAGCAGTTACATAATTCACTTCCTACTTAAGTTTTTAATAGTACTTGGGCACACACACATGAGTAATGGAGGAAAGAAAAAATTGGGTGAGCCTAATTTCTCATAGCAATCTCCACACAGCTGGATGTTTCTCAAATATTTTAAAGTGTTTTGATCAGTTAAAAAGATTTAAAGCATTATTTTCTCAGAAATTCTGACAAAATGTTTCTACGAAATTAACTAGTTGTTCTAAATTACATATTATTTCATTAATTGCCAATACAGGTTATATTTTTAAAGCAAAATCACATTAACAATCCTTTCATGTAAGAATCTTCCATTTCCAAAATTCTTTGGTAATGTAACTTGCAAAATAATCTGTATCCTCTCAGCTTTCAAACTTCTGTCTATTGGGCTGTTCATCCAAATAAGTGTAAATTAATTAGATCCATAATTCCACATTAATTTTGCAATTACAATGAAAAATATTACAATACCACCTTTTGTGTAGTAATTTAAGCTTCAGGTGTGAGTTTATTGTTCCTCAAAATGGGCCAGGAGAGGAAAATAAAGGAGCTAGGACCAGGCACACAATTTTCCTGCCTTGGAGGGCACAGGTGCTGGAGAAAGTGGCCCAGGAGCAGAGGGTGACTGTTGAGGGCCACAGGTGAGCAGATGAGACGGGCATCCAAGGGAGTAGCCAGCAGCATGTTGATTCCGGCCAGAGAGTACCAGGGAGATTCAGCTGGATGGAGCAGCGTCCACAGGGTGGTCTCTACAGTTGGAATCCACACAGGTCCCAGTACCTGGGCCTGGGAACCAGGACTCTGAGCTGTCGAGAGGTGAACTTGACGACGGCACGAAGAGCATGGGCCACGCCCGAGTCCGTGAGGTCAGGACCCTGTGGAGGAGGCTGGGAAGGGTGGCAGGGGTTTCCCCAGGAACCAGTGCGGAAGGCAAGTGTGGACATCCCCAGGACAGGACCCTCAGTGGTCAGGGGGCTGAGTCTCGTTCCTACCACAGCCCTCCTCAGCGTGTGCAATGCCTAGGAGGGGGTGGCCATGTCTTTGTGGGTGCTCAGCAGGTGCCTGGTGCGCAGATGACAGAACGTGGAGTGGAGCAGAGTCAGAAAGGGGCCTGAGGGAGGTGCGCGTGGCCTTGGCACATGGAGTCACGCACCAGGGCAGGAGACCGCATCAGCACCCTTAGAGCCGCGGGCAGCCAGCACTCCTGGAGTGCCACTGGGTCCACAATGATATCCTGGGCGTCCACTTAGTGCTAAGCCCCACGGAACCCAGGATCAGGCTAACAGGTACTGAGTCTTCCAGGGTACTTTTTCCCAATCACAAAATGGTTCAGGGTCTGAATCAAGTAGAACCCGATGGCAGGAGGTGCAGAAGTGCACCTGAGAACGTGGGTGGAGGCTCATCTGTTGCGTCTAATATGATCTGTGTAACATAAATGAAAAGCATAGTCAATTTTTCAAATCGACAATCCAATATTTAGGGACTTGCAGGGTGAATGAATTTAAATCCACATTCAAAATAAGATAATTAGTCTCTCTTACTTGATGAATGATACTATCGTCAAGTGATATCTTTCTGTCACGAGTTTCGGACCAATAGCCCAAAATGAAAATTATCCAATAAAACGTGAAAATTCAGCATTCTGCTACACAAAGTTATTTGAGATGGGACCATAAATCTTTTGCTAAAAGATGCCAAGCCCGAGGCTCAACTTTGCTGCAGAGAACGCGCTCATTCAGTGTTCACCATGTCTTCTCAGCCAGCACTGCTCCGCCCGCAAACAGCATCAGAGTCAAAAATGTGGAGACCAGCCCAGAAGGTCAGGCACATTCCAGGTATCAACCTACTTCCAGTGGCTGATGAGCCCTGGCCCTTAAACCGCCAACCCTCCAAATCCCAGGGTTTCCATCCTGCACCCCCAAGCCTCACCTGGCAGAACACCACAGGACCCCCTGTGTACCAGGATGGACAGCCTGGCTTCTAGCCCTCCTGCCGGCATCCTCAGGGGCTCAGACCAAGGCCACGTGACCACTCTTGTAAGCACCTGGGCTGAGCAGATCTTCCCACGGGCCTCATCACAACCCGTGGTGGGAACACAGGCCCAGACCTCAGCACCTCAGGGGTAGGCGGCGAGACCACACGTCCACACCAGGCCCAGACCTCAGCGCCTCGGGGGCGGGCGGCGAGACCACACGTCCACACCAGGCCCAGACCTCAGCGCCTCGGGGGCAGGCGGCGAGACCACACATCCACACCACACCCAACACTCAGCCTGCCAGGCTGGCCTGGGCGCCATGTGGCTGATGGGCACCCACAGTGAGCACGGTGATATGCTCCTCTCTTGCCTGGAAGGCTTTAGACGCTGCTCCTCCTCAGCGTCACACCAAGCCTGCTCAGAGGTGCTGAGAAATCCGGGGAGTCCCTGCAGGGAGGACACGCTTCTGACCCCTTGCTGGTCAGAAATGAAAATTAACCAATGAAATGTGAAAATTCGGCATTTTGTCATACGTGTGTTTACATATGTATATAAACACATGTGAAGATGAAGGGAAAGCAGGGTTGCTATGATAGCAAACAGATGAATAAAAATAAAACACACCATGTTCTCCATATTTTCATATTTTTCAATTATGAGACTTTACATTCACTTCTGAAACTTTTTAAGACAAAATTTAAAATGGAAAATATCAATCCACTGTGAGTTAATTGCATGCGTTTTTGGCTTCTCCGGCACGTCAGCGGCATAATGTTCACCTCGCAGGAGGAGCTCGGCCTCAGAAGCTTCCTTCCTCTGGCTTCTCTCCTGGGGCGCGTGGGCTGGATCCCCCGTAAGGAGGCACTAAGGTCAGCAGGGCCCTGCGGCCAGGAGGTCTAGGTCCACGGTGAGATCAAGGCTGCGCTGTGTCCTTCTGAGGGGTACGTGTCCAGCGTCCCTGTCCATCTGAGCAAAGGGCGCTTGTGCCGTTGGTGGAATCCGTGACTGAAGGCCAAAGCACCTGCACCTGTGAAAACATCAGAACATGGACTTTTCCACGGCACTGACCATGGCACGAAACTAACTGTGTAGGGAGACAGTTAGAAACGACAAAGATGGTGCAGTGTGTGCTCAAGGTGGGGTTCAGCAAAGCATCTCAGCTTGCAGAGCAGCACCAGCTCAGAGCAGGGGCTCTGTGTGCCTTGTGGATATGAATGGATGGATGGACGGACGGATGGATAGATGGACAGACGAATGGAGAAGAGCTCCGCAGTTGAGGAAATGCGTGAGATGAGATGCAGCGTGGCCATGGGTTTCCCCACATTTTACTTCTACTCTGGGCTCTCCTGGACATCTTCCTTCACATAGAGGGTGTAAACTCGTTAACGCCGTCTCTGCTCCCTGTGTTTAGGACCTGGATGGTCTTTGCATGGCAACAAACCCTTTCCCTCTAAGCCAGGCCCACCCCAACAGCCCCCATCATCCAGCAGGACCCCCATCAGCCACCAGCCGCAGACGCCAGCCCCTCCTGTTCCCACATCCCCTGTTTGCCCTCCTGGCCTTGGGAGTTGGATCCAGCCCCAAATCCTTCATGGGACCCTTCAGGCCCTGCCACGGACAATTATAAAGGCCTCACCCGGCTGGCGTCTAGGAGCAGCCTCGGGAGAGCTGCGCTTTGGACTCCGGCCCCTGCTGGCCACACTCTTTCCACATCTGCATGCCTGCCCCCACACCTCCACTGGGGACCCCTTCTTAGGGGCTCAGTTGAGGGGCTTTTCTCCGTCCAAGCCAGTGCCTTTCCACTTCCTTCCCCAGCTCCAGGTCCGTGAGGGGCAGGAACCCATTGCTCAGGCTTCTTGGCAGTGAAAGGACTTCGTCTGTGCCATGTGCCCAGACCCTCAGCCAGTGTGGGTCTGTGGAGAAGAAGAGACATCAGGGCTGCTGCCCTTCTTGTTCACCACATGCCTACACCATCACAGAGAGGCCGGATGTTGACTTCCGTGACTCATAACCAAAACTACACACTCACCACCCAGTGCTCCACAGGCCCCTGGCCTGAACTGCAGATCCCAATTTCAGTGGCCACCATGCCTGTCTCAGTTTCAGCAACTCTGCAAGCAAGGACCCCATTTCTGAGCCCTGGGTCCTGCACAGGCCACATCCCAGGGTGAGATGTGCACCCTCCATGCCTGGGCAGAGGCTCCTGGTCCAGCCCTGCCCTGCTCCATCTGTGGTCCCCGCAGGAGCAGGAGGCGGAGGGAAGGACAAAGAGGCCTGGACCCCTGCACTGATTACTCTGAACTCGTACTTATGGGACCTGACCCACAGCAGCTTGCTTTCTCTTTCTTTCTTTCTTTTCTTTCTTTCTTTCTTTCTTTCTTTCTTTCTTTCTTTCTTTCTTTCTTTCTTCTTTCTTTCTTCTTTCTTTCTTTCTTTCTTTTTTGTACTGGAGAAGGAAACTTTTTGTTTGCTTAATCTTTCGTTTGTTTGTTTGCCTGTTTTAGGAACCCTGAATTAACAGAATGAAGAATAAGATAATGGAGGAGTTGGCATCGAGTCTCCCCCTGCCCAGCACATAAGCCAGGCTTGAGCCCCACAGGTAGAGGCAGAGAAGCCAGAAGCCTGGGGAACTGTGACTCTGAGAAACCAGTGCACTTGGCACTAGGAATACATCACGATCAAAATGAAAGGTAAAAATTAACAAATATAGAAGATTCACGCTCTAACAGGACTGAGCCCTTCCATGATCTCACTTAATCCTCACAACCCTGGAGGTCATTGCTCTCTTCAACCCTGTGGAGATGAGACAAGACACAGAGAGAGGTGCGCTAAGTTCCCCAAAGCCACGTAACTTGCTGCAGCACAGTCAAGATTTGAGTCCAGGCTCTTAAACTTCACATCAGGAGCTCTCAGCCATCACTTTAAGCCACCTTATTTGCATCTAAGAAGCAAGGATCTTGAGTCTTCTGATTCGGAATTGGGCGTGATCTTTACTGTGCTGCTTGGGGGGTCCAGTGTATGGTGCTCATTTGAGGATCAGGACTTTCTGTCTTCCAGGATTTCATCACCTGCCCATCTAATTACTCACAGACTGGTGGCTTGGAAGACAGTGGAAGAAGTATGCATGGCAGGGCAAGGTCAGGGCAGCCGCCAATGCCAACAAAGAGGAGAAGGAGGAAGAGCCAGAAATGTGGCCTCCTGACCATCTCAGCCATGAGAAACATAGCCCTGAAGACCAAAGCCAGGAGCACGGCTGTGAAGATCCACAGCTCGGAATACCATGACCATGAACATCACAACCACGATCACCACAGCCATGATCACCACAGCCATGAACACCACAACTACGATCTCCACAACCATGATCACCACATCCCTAAATACCATGACCATGAACACCACAGTCCCAAAGACCACAGCCCAGAATACCACGACCATGAACATCACAGCCAAACCCAAAGACCACAGCCATGAACACCACAGCCCTGAAGCCTGCTGCAGTGAAGACCCCCATTTTGGAAGTCCCAGTGGTGCCTGGAGGGGTGTGGATGGAGCCCTGCTGCCCACAGAAAGAGGCCTGGCACTGTGCTCCATGCTAATGTCCATGTAACTGCTCTTCGGCACCATGTCATGCTGTTCTTCATATCACCTGGGCAATAAAGAATATCCCAGAAGTTCTCCCTAATAGATCAAAGCCAGGTTGGATGAGGTCTTTCTCTTGGGATTAGTACATTTTATCGGGTGGATGAAAACAGATTCCTAAATCACCTGCGTTCAAGAAATGGCCTCACCCCTGAAGCCCCAGAGGCTGAAGCGCCACCTTTGTGGGTGACGTGCCTCCTCAGTCGCCACCTTTTGTCTCATTCTGCATGATCCTGGGGTTTGGCCTGAAATTAGAGAAGGAGTGAGCTGATTGGTAAAAGGCAGAATGTGGGAAATTTGCATGAGCTTGTTTCAGAAATTTGCAGTCAGCACAAAAGAATCCCTCTCAGTCCACGGCAAAGGTTCAAAGAAGCATTGAGAAAGAGGCGCAGTGCTCATGGAGGTGTGAGGGTCCGGTTTCCTCAGAGCCGTATCTGAAGCCAGGAGAGGAAGGTGGAAAGGAGCTGCAGAGATGCGGATAGGAGATGGGGCTCTGACACCACCCAGGGAAGCCAGCCAGCTGCACCCAACACGCATCTGTGGAGGCAGGGCCAGCCCTAAAGCGGGTCATCTGGGCCAGGCCAGGGCTCAGAGGGCTTGGCGTGCATTGGGCCAGTGAGGGCGGCTGCCGCGTGTGCCCACACACACATGGTCTTCTAGGAGCTGTCCCCTCTGGTGCTCTGTGAGACTCATCTGCCCTATTCATGCCACTCCCCTCACACTCTGGCTGCTGCTGGAGCCTCACCTGCAACTGGGAAGGATGCAGTGGGCATCCATGACCTTTGCCAAGGCAAAGCCGGCTTTGGGAGCCCCTCAACCTCACGCTCCACACTGCAGAGCCGCAGAGGTTGGCACCCCGGGCCTATGTGCTGCCAGAGTGCCCAGGATGGATGGACGCCCATTCTCAGCTCTGATGGCCTCCTGACACCCCAAGCCCAGGAGCAGAGCCCAACTGTTTAATTTCTGTGATTTTATCTCACTGAAAATCACCATAATGCATCCTCATATAATGAGAACAGCAGATAGTATTAATCAAATAACAATCATGGCTGATATTTGGTAACCACAGGCTCTGCATCATCTGTGAGAGCTTTCACAGCACCTTTCTGAAGTGAGTGTTTTTCTCTCAGCAGAGGAGAAACATGAAGATTAGAGTTTTAAGTCTGTTGCCCATGGTCACACAGATAATTTATATGAAAGACAAGATTCAAATCCAAGTTCTGCCTGAGTTCGAAGCCTATGCTTTCAGGTTCCACACTGAATTCCCTCTACACACTTCTCCACCAAACACACCCAGGAGAAGCATAACAGACGAGATCTTTAGAGGTGTCCACAGCATCGGGGGATACAGACAGTGATATCATTTTGCATGTTCTGTATATACCAATATATCTAATGCCAGTCAATATACCCTGAACAAGGGAATTTCAAAATGCACATTAGGGGTGTGTGGTGGTGGTTATTGGAAACAGAATTTTCTTTCATATGTATTTCTAGAAAAGCAACTTTTTTAGCCTTGAAAATCAGAAGTGTTGCAGCCGCATGAGCTGACACAGTTGTTTTCTCATTTCCAGAGCCTGGGTCCACGCGATGCTGATGCTGTGGCTGGGGCTTGAGAACAGGAGTCTCGCTGTGGTCCCGGCGGGCTCTTACTTAAAGGAAATATATGTGCACCAAAGAACATGCTATGCTTTTATTCTTTCATAAAGGTACCACCAAAATAGCCCAAAGCATGAGAATTTAGAACCCTATCTGCTCCACATGGCTGTTCAGGAAAGCTTAAAAGTGGTATGTGTCTGTTTGGAAACCCCATTTCTTCATTTGAATGGGAAGAACTGGCTATCACAATCACTAATTTCCTCTCATTCCTTTGTGTGACCCACACAAAAGATAGGAAGTCACTTTTACAGCTGATACTAAGGCGCTGGCCAGTTCCCAGAGGACTTACAACTTCCTATTGTTTGTCGCTGAAGCACATTAGGAAACGTGGCATCATTGGTGTTAATATGAATTGTGGTTGTTTTCTCAAACACGCAGGGTCACCTGCCTTCTGCCAATGCCCTGGGAAGCCAAGCTAGACCCCCTTTCCAAATCTGTTTGCTTGCCCACAGGCAAAGATGGGTGTTTGCAGCCACACAATGTGAAATGACCACCCTGTAGAAAAGAAGGCGTGTCCACTAGCCCAGAGAGGCTCTCACTCACCTCCCCGCAGGCCTGGAGGACTCACCTGGAGAGGCCCCTCTCCTCGGCCGGGCGGCCTGTTCTCCTCAGATCAGTGCCCACCATGATCGCTCCGCACACTCCGGGACCCCGGCCTATGGTGAAGACAACCTCCAGGGAGACCTTTCATCCAAGCGTGACTGTCCCGGTCATCATCAACCCAGGGAAGGGGAGAAAGCGGGTTTCCTGCGTATGCCTGTTTTAACACTTTGGTTTTTCATCTTCCTCCTGCTTCTAAACATAGCTGATGTCTCCTGGGCACTCCTTTTTCATAGAGGGAGGCTTTCATATGGCTGCCCTTCCTGAAGCTCATCACATTCCTGCAGATGGGGGTCCCAGGACATGCCCCCTCCCACTTATCCTTCAGAATGCACAACGCTGAGGACAGGATTGCAGGGCCAGAGGGTGTGTGGGGGCACCTGTGTGCACAACCCTGAGGACAGGACTGCAGGGCCAGAGGTTGCGTGCGGGGGCACCTGTGTGCACAACACTGAGGACAGGATTGCAGGGCCAGAGGGTGCGTGCGGGGGCACCTGTGTGCACAACCCTGAGGACGGGACTGCAGGGCCAGAGGGTGCGTACGGGGCACTTGTGTGCACAACCCTGAGGATAGGACTGCAGGGCCAGAGGGTGTGTGGGGGCACCTGTGTGCACAACCCTGAGGATGGGACTGCAGGGCCAGAGGGTGTGTGGGGGACCTGTGTGCAGGTGTTTGCTGCAGGTGGGGAGCTGGGGCCGCTGGAGGATGAGGCGATGGTGCTCAGAAGCTTCTTTTCAGTGCATTGAAAACAGGCAGTTGGAAGGTGACACTACCTTCCTGAGCTGTGCGGATCTTTATCATTTACTTGGTATTACATATTCCAGCTCACCCTGAACAAACCAATGAACAACAGATAAATATGTCCACTTAGTATCCTACTGTTGAGTCCAAGGAACTTTTACAAAGAGAATTC